>NC_000005.10:161215869-161518899 GCF_000001405.40 Homo sapiens | reverse complement strand
CTAAAATTTAATATCTAAGCATAACTCAATAATTTGTAGGTATGATACAAAGAGTTCTGATATTAATTTATAAATTGCAGTTTGTCATATGTCTTTTTCTACATTTGAAAATAATGAGCATGCTTTAAGGTGACCTCTCAATGTACCCAGTGACTTTATCAGCATCTCTTTTCTGTTACTGTGCATGAATCAAAATATCTCCATGATGTGAGTATTTTTAGAGTAACTCCTAGAAGTCTTTGACTTATGCAGGATGCAGTGTTTATGAATGTTGTGCTCTCAATAATCAAGAATAATTTTATAGTCTAGTAGCATCACCTATAAAAAACTTGTTTTATGTTGGGGTCATAGATAGTAACAGATATAATTTCAGTTCTCACAGTCAAATGCGATTTTTTACTATGAACCATCACAAAAGTCAAGGACATTCAGAAGATTTTAATTTACTATTAGAAACATTACAAGGCAATCCTGACTACCTGTTTCTCAGTTAAGTTATGTCAACAGGGGTAAGTAATGTCCACAACTACTGAGGTCTGTATGAGGCCTCCACTTGGGAGATGGATTGAAACTGTAAATAATTCATTTTTTAAGCCATTGGAATTTTTCTAGCTCAGGGTTTCTGAAAAATGACTGCTTTTCCCTATTCTCAAAGGAATTCTTACTGTTCATACTTTTTATTTTGTATAAAATGTTAAGAATAGAATCTTCCCCCATTCAATGGAGAATGATTGGCTAAAATTCTTTTCTTCAAATGTACCTCAGCATTCTCTCATGAAAAAATCAGAAATTGGCCAGGTGCAGTGGCTCACACCGGTAATCCTAGCACTTTGGGAGGCTGGGGCGGGCCGATCACGAGGTCAGGAGATCGAGGGCATCCTGAGTAACACGGGGAAACCCCGACTCTACTAAAAATACAAAAAATTAGCCGGGCGTGGTGGCGGGTGTGGTGGCGGGCGCCTGTAGTCCCAGTTACTTGGGAGGCTGAGGCAGGAGTCTGGTGTGAACCCGGGAGGCAGAGCTTGCAGTGAGCTGAGATCATGCCACTGCACTCCAGCATGGGCAACAGAGTGAGACTCTGTCTCAAAAAAAAAAAAAAATCAGAAATTTTCAGTTGCACTTCCTTCCTTCATGCCAGAATTTAGATAAGATGTGTTGATTAGATTTGGCCCTTTAAATTGACTTTTATGCCACTGTAGTCACAGTTCTGGGAATTACTATGACACCTTTTGGGCACATGATGCAGTAATGCAGGCGGTGGACCACTGCAATAGCGGCAGTGCCCAGCTAATTTACCCTGGGTATCTGTAGAGAGTGTTTACACCAGTCCCCCCTCAAGTGTTTTTCCAGGCAACAATGAGGATGCACATACATTAAAAAAGAAAAGTATATGATCTATATATTTCCTCAATTGACTTCAACCTATGTCACTGGGGAAAAAGAAACAAAACAGTAGTTATTTATCATTACTTATAAACTGAGATGAAAGCTAACCCTTATAATCTAGCTCACATTTTAAAAATAAGGATATCATCCTTTGCTACACAAATATATTTTTGGAGAAAAACTCAAATCTGAGTTAACCCTAGCCCTGAGAAGCCCGTATATCCTATTAGATCAATAGTTTTCCATGTTGACTTTGGCAGGTAGGACCATTTTACTTCTCCCAGAATGATGTAAGATATTTTCTCAGGGTCACTAATATAACCCCTTCATCACAGCTATCTTTATGAAAGGCTGGGTCCCAAACACCTAATGAATATTCTATATAATAACCTTCATTGTGTCACTTGCTGTCTTGGTAATTCTTATATTCAAACCATAGGAAATCCCTGAGCCATCAAAACTTAGTCACAGAGCAGAACAGGGCATAGGAGCCTCTCTGACAAATTGGCTCATGACAAAAGACATGAAAGAAGTGAGATGTTTGCTAACTCTCTGAAGTAAAGTATAAGTTGTTACTAGATACAAAAGGGGAGACATCTGAAGGGTTGGGAACTAATAGACATGGGTACCAATGTTTTTCAGTTCTTGGGTCAGAGCTTTATTTCCATCTTTATCTTTGTCACCTGGGATACTGATAGCAGTCCACACTACCTTGTTGTTGGATTGTTTGAACATGGATTGAGCAAAACAATTTCTGGACAAAATAAATTCATCTTCTCAGTATGAGCATTTGGTGAAATGTGCCAGACAGTGAAACTTACAATAATAAAATCCATTGATTTATAAACTTTTTCAATAAAAAAAAATCTTTACTTTATTTGCAAACCCTACAGCAAATATATAGGGAATGTGTGGCATATCAAAAACAACGTTGCCCTTGAAGTTATGAAATGCCAAGTTCAAATTTGTTTGCTCCCTTATTATTTATCTTTGGAGAAGTTTCATTGCCTTTCTTAACTTCACTTCCATCTTCTGTAATACGGGCATAGAAGGAGTAACCTGCTTACATGCAAATTACATTGTTGGTAGGCACTCATTCACCCATCCTGAGTGAAGGCAAGGCGAACTCACATAATTTCCTCATCTGCAAAGCAGGGGTGGCAATAATACCTACCTCTTGGGGTTGTTATGAGCATTAAATGAAAGAATCCATATAAAGCCCTTAGCATAGTTTCTTTCAGGTATGTACTACACAACCAATTGATATTAGCTAAAATATTGATGGTCAATATATGTATCCAAAGAAGTTAAGTTTTATCAACAACAGTAAAAAAAGTCTTTAATTTATTTAGGTTCTACTATATGCAGACTTGCTAGTAGGTACTATTTTGCATTTGAGGAAAATAAAGGTGAGAGATAAAGTAAAATACTTATGTAGTAAATGTCAGAGTGAAGACTCCAAGGCTTAGGAGTGACACTACAAAGTCCAGGCTTATTTTCTATAGCAACTGCCTCTTGACAAACCTCCATGAAGCAGCAGGCAGAAAAGCTGCCATGGAATCTGGCTGACTTTTGCATGTCAGGTTAATAGTGCCTCTGACTTCTTCACATACGTTTCTAATACTGCATGCTGCTTGTTTTTTTGTTCTACCTATGTTACTATGTCTGTTTTTGATACCTGTTGATTAGTCCGTAGACTGAAATTGAGCATGTTTTCTTACTTATCAAATGAAGCTATTTCAGAATTACATTCTTTGTATATTGGAAATAATCTTAAAAATTTCCAGCCATGGAGTAGCAATTTACAAATTATTTTTGTTACTAACATGAAAGAGATAAATTCCTTTATGAGTTCTTCTACATGTTCTTCTAACCTTTAACTCTAACAAGCTTAGATAATACGTTTGCATGGTAATTAAAATTCAGTGACGTTTAAAGGAAATTAAATCCACTGTGGAATTAATAGGATATGTGAAGCATACCAGACCTTAAACATCCTTTTTTTTTCTTTTTAGCTAATTAAAGTGCTTAGGAAAAATAAAAACAGAAAAATCTCTAGTAAAATTGAGTTTCTCATAGCTACAGTTGTAGGCAATAATATACTCATTCATTTTCCAAAATAAAAAGATCTGTTTTGCAAACTATCCCCCGAATAGAAAAGAACATATTTTCTAATAATAGACCAAATATTGCTGAAAACAAAACAGTTCCTTTTACTTTTGAATTTTTTTTAAAAAATTCTAATTCCCTTTTTACTTTTATTTACCCAAAATGTTAAATACAGCTTCAGAAAAACTTGAAGATTTTAATGTGGGAATGATAAGAAGGGATATTTTAATGAAAAATAATGTCACCCGAAGAAGAGATTAACTTTAGAAACAGGGTTTATTTTGCTTAACATGGTCCTTTTTTCTACCTATCTAAGCCATATTCAAGTGAACTCAGTAGCAGTTGACATTAACTGACCTAAATTTATCATACATTATTATGCATGGCAGCATTGACAAATACGGATGAATGCTATTATGGCTACTCCCTAATGAGCATGTTCTCTGGTAAGGCTTGGGTTCACATACATTTTCTCATCTTAAAGTCATTAACAATTATGAGAGTAAAGTATATTTAATGTGACGAAAGTAGAGATTAGAAAGATTAATCAATTTCCTAAACTCTCACAGATAAATGAAAGAGATTGGTTTGATTCAAAATTCAAGCGAAGGCTTGAGATGACTAGAATTTCGAGTGGTATGTAGACATTAATCTTGGCTGAGACATCTGGGAGACCTCATAGCCATGAATCTAAGTGATTATGGAGCCACTGTACGTGTTTCATAATTTAGAGCACATAATTTTACATGCACATTAAGGACCATTTGGAGGCAGTACACCTTATATGGATGACCCAATTTACACACACATACACACACACACACACGTATATATACTTTTAGGGATAGAGAAAAGGCAAATCTCTTGTTTTCATTTTATTTATTCAACAAATACTCATTAAGCATTTGCTCTAGGTCAGACACTATATCTGGGAGATAAAAAGATGAACAAGACAGACCAGATGTTTTCTCTTATGATGCTTATTCTAGTGCAGGAGACAAACAATAATCAAGTCAACATGCAATTAAGAAAATTACACAGTATTCTGTGCAGGAACTAAGCAGGTGGATGTATGAGAGAGTAGCTTATGGATGGAGGAACTGTTTTAGAACAAGAGGTTGGAGTTTCAAGGAGGTTTTATTTAAGCTGGGCTGTGAAGAATGGGAGGGCAAGCCTTGGGAAGAGGTGGGAGAAGAGTGTCTGCACTCTGGTCATATAATCAGCAAACACATTTGTAACCATTTAAGCAAAAGTGTCAGGTGATGAGCACATCACTGTGCTCCCTGGAGCTGCGATCATGAAGTTCTGGAATGAAATCACACTTAGCTGATATTTTTGGCATGGGAAGAGTACAACTATATGAAAAACATCTGCTTTCTTGCTTCAAATGAAATGTGGCCAAAAATGACTGACTGAAATGAATTTGTTTTTGAAAAAGCAACAGAATGATGAGGAAGCTAAATTTTAGTAATATTATAGCTCATCTCCAGCTTCATTGTAGTTAACATTTCCAGTGTGTGTGATTTTTGTTGCAATTTCTATTAACTGTCAGTTGTGGAGTTTTTTGGGAAGGAAATTTATCTGTATTTTATTTTTAATTTTTAAAATAATTTCAACTTTTATTTGAGATTCAGGAGGTGCACGTGCAGGTTTATTACAGATATACTGTATGAATGCTGAGGCCTCAGATATAAATGAGCCCATCACCCAGATAGTGAGCACAGTATGCAACAGTTAGTTTTTCAACCCTTGCCAGCCATTGTCCTCCCTCCCCTACTATTAGCCCCAGAGTCTATTGCTGCCATCTGTATGTCCATGAGTATCCAGTGTTTAGCTCCCAGTTATAAATGATAATATACAGTATTTGGTTTTCCATTCCTGCATTAATTCACTTAGGATAATGGTCTCCAGCTGCATCCATGTTGCAGCAACTGACATGATTTTGTTCTTTTTAATGGCTGCATAGTATTCCATTGTATATATATACCACATTTTCTTTATGAATCCGCTGTTGATGGGCACTTAGGTTGGTTCCATGTCTTTTGCTATTGCGAACAGTGCTGCAATGAACATACTAGTGCATGTGTTTTCATGGTAGAATGATTTATTTTCCATTGAATATATATCCAGTAATGGGATTGCTGGGTCGAATGGTAGTTCTGTTATTATTTTAACAATTTGGTAGTTCAGGTAGTTAAGTAGCTTAAGTAGTTCTTAATATTTTAAGTCCTCTCTCCAAACTGCTTTCCACAGTGGTTGTTCTAATTTACATTCCCACCAACAGTGTGTAAGCGTTCCCTTTTATCCACAGCCCCACCAGCATCTCTTGTTTTTTTGTTTTTTTTTTTCTTTTTTCTTTTTATCTTTGCAATAATTGCCGTTCTGACTGGTGTGTGATGGTATCTCACTGTGGTTTTGATTTGTATTCCTTTGATGATTAGGGATGTTGAACATTTTTTCATGTGTTTGTTTGCTCTTGTATGTCTTCTTTTGAGAAGTGTCTGAACATATTTTTTGCCCAGTTTTTAATTTTTTTTGCTTGTTTAATCATATGAATTCCTTGTAGATTCTGAGTACTAGACCTTTGTTGGATGCATTCTCTGCTAATATTTTCTCCCAGTCTGTAGGTCATGTGTTTACTCTGTCAATCCTTTTGCTGTGCAGACGCTCTTTAGTTCAATTAGGTCCCACTTGTCAATTTTTATTTTTGTTGCAATTACTTTTGGGGACTTAGTCATAAATTCTTTCCCAAAGCTAATGTCCAGAATGATATTTCCTAGGTATTCTTCTAAGATTCTTATAGTTTGAGGTCTTATATTTAAATATTTAATCCACCCTGAATTAGTTTTTTTGTATGGGAAAGGTAGGTGACCCATTTCATTCTTCTGCATATGGCTAGCCAGCTATCCCAGCACCATTTATTGAGTAGAGAGTCCCTTCCCCATTGCTTATTTTCATTGACTTTGTCAAAATCAGATGGCTGTATGCGTGTAACTTTATTTCAGGATCTACATGTCTATTTTTGTGTCAGTACCATGCTGTTTTGGTTATTGTAGCCTTATGGTATTGTTTGAAGTTGAGTAAGGTGATGCCTCCAGCTTTGTTCTTTTTGCTTAGTATTGCCTGGGCTATTCAGGCTCTTTTTTTCATTCCATATGAATTTTAGATTAAAAAAAATAATTTTGTGAACAAATGACTTTTGTAGTTTGATAGGAATAGAGTTGAATCTGAAGATTGCTTTGGGCAGTATGGCCATTTTAAGTAGATTGATTTTTCCAACTCTTGAGCATGGAATAGTCACTTTTAATTGACTTTTATAGATACTTTCTTACAGGAGATTCGAGGGGTAGAGCTTTACCAAAACCCAAGTATGTTGTTATAATATGCTGTTTGAAAATGAATTAGTCTGTCTTGTTAATATTAACCATGGATTGAATTGTGTGACTCAAATTCATATTTTAAAGTACTAACTTCCAGTTCCTCTGAATGAGTCGTTATTTAGAAATAGGGTCTTTCAGAGGAAATCAAGTTAAAGTGAGGTTAGGAAGGTAGCTCCTAATTCAGTATGACCAGTGTTCTCATAAAAAGGGAATGGCACAGAGACATTCATAATGGGAAGACAATATGAAGAGACGTAGGGAGAAGATGATCATCCATGAGCCTAGGAGAGAGGTCTGGAACAGATTCTTCCCTCACAGCCCTCAGAAGGAACCAGTCTTGCAGACACCTTAATTTTGAGCTTCTTGCCTCCAGAACTGTGAGACAATAAATCTATTTTGCCTAAGTCACCTAGTTTGTAGTACTTTGTTGTGTCAGCTGTAGCAAACAAAGATAACCATTAATTATGAAAACAAGACATACATAATATACCTATGGTAAAAATAGTACTTGGATATATTTTTTATTCCAGAATATTATCCCACATTTTCAGTTTGAGTGATGAACAAGCCTTGTTTGGTTTTGTCTTAACTAGTAGCTTAATAAGAACAGTTTATGTGAAATAGAACTGGGGAACAGTGATTACCCAAGTTTGTGTGTAATTCTTGATTTTTATCAATTTTTCCCAAAGATTGTATATTTTACAAACTGAAAAGAACAATTTAAAGGTCAACTTTTAGATATAAACATAACAGAGTTTTATGCAGTTTAGAAAAGAAAAGAGCAAGATTATTTAGGAACTTTGATCTGTCTTTTTAACCGCTCCTTCTCTCTTTTGATGTAGGACAGAACCATCACTTTTGCTATGAAATTAAATCTGTTTTTGAGAAAGTACCCCTATAATGAGGCATTTAGTACATTTGTGATGTTGCCACTTTCTCAATTATTATAGGCAAATATTTTTATTTTTCTTTAAAACTATACTGTGATCAATTATTAGTATGGGTACAAATAATCAAAATACTGTTGGTGTTATGATTGTTACTACAATGTGATCATCATTAGTTTGGTTACCATATAGAAAGAATGTGATTATGAGCCTCTAAGCAACTATGGATATTACTTCAAGGGATGAAAGCAGAAGGTGTAAAACCTTGGAGATATACAAATCCTCATGGGAAATGAATTTTTTCTTCCCCTTTGTCTTCTTCCCATAATGATTTTTTAAGTGAACCCTAAATGCTGGACATAAGGGTAGGCATTTACACTCATAGATATGAAAATAAAAATATCTGTTTATGAGTTGGAGGTTGTAGTGAGCCAAGATCATGCCATTGCACTACAGCCTGGGTGACAAGAAATGAGACTCCATCTCAGACAAAACAAAACAAAACAAAACATTTATTATCCTCAAGGCCATAGTGAAAACCTAGGCTTCAATAATTAAAATTCACAAATGCTATGTAATAAAAGATGTTTTTAAATATGGTTACTGAGAGAACTTTGTGCTTTTGATTTATGTTCAAAAAGAATTTTTTGAAAATATGGTACATGTACACAATGTAGTACTATTTGGCCATAAAAAAAGAATGAGATGCTGTCATTTGCAACAACATGGATGGAAGTGGAGATTATTATGTTAAGTAAAATAAGCCAGGCGTAGAAAGACAAATGTCGCATGTTCTCACTTATTAGTGCGGTCTAAAAAATCAAAGCAATTGAACTCATGGACATAGAGAGTAGAAGGATGATTACTAGAGGCTGGGGAGGTTGGGGGGGAGCTGGGGGAGGAAAATAATTAGAAGAATGAATAAGACATACTATTTGATAGCACAATGAGTAACTATAGTCATAATAAATTGTACATTTTTAAATGACTAAAAGAGTATAATTAGATTGTTTGTAACACAAAGGATAAATGCTCGAGGGGATACATACCCCAGTCTCCATGATTTGATTATTTTACATTGCATGCCTGTATCAAAACATCTCATGTACCCCGTAAATGTACACACCTACTATGTATACCACAAAAATTAAAACTAAAAATAATTAAAAATAAAAGCAAAACAAAACAGAAATAATTTTCTGGGAAGGTGAAACTCCATCCTAATCTTAGAGTAGTTATAGATTAATGTTATAGAAAGATCATGCAGGTCATGAGGTAGGGAGGCCTTAAGGAACTATTTCAAGAGGCAAAGCAGAGATGATAGTGGCCTTTCCTAAGATAGTAGCAATAGAGTGTGGAAGAAGGATTCCTATTCACGCAATAAAGCTGTGCTGGTTGTATGGAGCCACTGTTTGTTCTGATTGATTAGTTTGCATCTCATTCTAAGTGTAAAATATCTCGAGTATTACTCCTTGAAGGTGGTGATGTGAAGAGATGATTGGGAAATATTTAGGAGACAGAGTCAAAAGCAGAGATGTGTAAATAAATGATACGATAGAGTGCCATGAGTACAGAAATCGACATGAATATGTGTAAGGTGTGGAGCTGATTCCAAGAGGAATGTGAATAACTCTTTCTCTGAGGATGTCAGAAAAGACTTTTCAGAGAAAGTGATGCCTTAACTGATTTTCCTCATGCAGAAAATGGGATAAGTGCTTTTCAGGCAAAGGAAACTGCATGCTCCCAATGTGGGAAGTGCTAAAATTGAATGTGACATCCAGGGATCTACACATTAATTGATATTGCTGGACTGTATTTACAAAATATGAAGAAATGGTAGAAATATTAGTGGAAAGCTTTTTTATCTTACAAAATATTGTCATAGATGGAAATCATTAGAGTTTACTCAGCTAATCATATTTAATATATGCTTTGTATCAGTACATAATTCTGTACTGGTTGTTGGGATGCTTTAATCAAAGGGTGAATTTTCCATGCCGTGTTTTATGTCTCTTATTTTGAGGCTAATTCAGAATGAATGAAATAAGAGAAATCTAGCACTCCATTTATGTAGTGTTGCCTCATTTCTTTATATAGCTATCTATAATGAAATTTCATATTGCTAGTTAAAAAAAGAGCCACAAAGCCTCTCCAAAGACAGAATAGCTTAGAGGAAATTGGGTTGTTCTGGCAAATTAATTATTCTACCTTACTTATACAATAGAGGATTATATATTTTCATGCTGTGTGTTTATATTAGCAGAACACTTTATGATTCCTAGGATAGTATAGGAACGAAGAATAGTATCTATGTGACATATGCAACCAATTAAGAATACAGAGGAGAAATAATTTGGCCTACACTATTTTGAATTGGTGTCAGGCAAAATGCTATGCATTCATCCTCTTATCGAGACAACTGCAGCCTTCAGATCTGTGCTTGTCTCTTCCTCATGGAAACCACAGACTCAGTCTTTTTTCCGTTTAGAAAACTGGACAGTTTATTTTCCTTATTATGAATGTAACTACAATTACTTATGCAAGTGTATTTTAATGTCTATCTACTTGTTAAAGTGGCAACAACTTGAGAGGAGGAACATCATCGTGGGAGACAAGAAATAAGTTACTCGTTTTGGCATGAGAGTGTAGTGTAGTAGTCATGGGTTCTGGGTCTTGGATCAAAGGAATTGCATGCAAATCCCATTATCCACCTCTCAAGCCTCATCTCTAAAATTGGGACAACATTGCTATTCATGTCAATGTTGTCTTAATATGCTTATCACTTGCCTCTCCATCTAGCATGCCAGTTTATGAGATCAGGGAACCTGGTATCTACTTTGCTATGTCTCTATTGTCTAAAACATTGTTGGGCACACCATAAGCTCTTAATAAATTGCTGTGGAATAGATGAATTAATTCACAGCACATGTAGCTAGGTAGAGATTTAGTGAGGCATAAATAGGTTTATATCTAGAAATCTCTTAGTATAGTACCTATAGCAGAGTAGGCATTCAGTGATATAAAATATTTTTATTTAATAAATAGTACTTAAAACAGTATTTATATTTAAACAGTACTTGAGTATTTTTTGTTCAAGTCTTTTTGCATACATATGTTTCCATTCCTCTTGGGTAAGTACCTACAAGTGGGATTACTGGGTCTTGGTGTAGATGTATGTTTAACTTTATAAGATTCTGCCAAACTGTTCTTCAAAATGGTCCCTTCATTTTCACTGTCACCAACGATGTATGGAAATTTGGGTTGCTCTACATCCTTGACAACAGTTGGTGTTGTTCTTTATAAATTTAGCCATTCTAGTGGGGGTGTAGTGGTATCTCATTGTGGTTTTAATTTGCATTTTCTCTGATGACTAATGCTGTTGAGCAATTTTTCATATGCCTATTGGCCACTTTGCATATCTTCTTTTGTGAAGGGTCTGTTTTAGTCTTTTGCTCACTTTTAATTGAGTTGTGTGTCACGTTGTTATTGAGTTGTAGCAGTTGTGTATACATTGTGGGTATAGTCTGTTACAAGACATATATGCATGTGTGTGCATGTGTGTGTGTACACACATATATTTTTACATATAGATAAATTTTCTCCTTGCCTTTGACATGCCTACTCACTTTCATAACAGCCTTTTATCCTTCAGTACTTTTATTTCAAAATAATTTTAGACTTACAGAAGAGTTGCAAAGATGATACAGAAAGTTCCCAAATAACCTTCACTTAGCTTCCTCTGATGTTAACATCTTATATAACCATGTTATATTTATCAAGATTAAGAAATTAACGTTGGGACAATACTATTAACTGTCCTACTTTATTATTTGCCATTAAATAACAGGCTTTATTTATACTTTTCCAATTTTTATATTAACATTTTTTTTCTGTTCCAGGATCCAATCCAGTACCCTATCCAGGATACTACATTACATTTGTTTGTCATGACTCCCATTTCCCTCCCATTGTATGACAGTTTCTCAGGTTTCCCTTGTCTTTCATGACAATTTTTCAGAGTTCCACTTAGGTATTTTCAGAATGTCCTTTAATTTGGGCATTTTGATGAACAGAGCTTTAAAATTCTTACAAAGTTCAATTCATCAATGTTTTCTTACCCGACTAATTTCTACGTCCTAGTCAAAAAATCTGTCACTATCTGAAGGTTCTGGAGACGTTCTCCTGTGGCTCCTTCAAGAAGTTTGAATTAATTTCTATGTAGGGATTTGAGGTAGAAAATCATTTTTTCTATTTGGATAACTGATTTTCCAACATTATTTGTTTACAAAGATTGACCTTTTCTCATTGTATTGCTTTGGTGTCTTTTTCAAAAATATAAAATATATTAAGTATGGGTCTATTTCCAGATTCTAGTTGGCTCCATTGCTCTACTTGTCTCTTTTTCCAGCACCACTACCTTGATTACTGTCATGTTAGAGTAGTGGTTGGTAAACTTCTTCCAAAAGAGGTACATAATAACTATTTTATAATTTCATGTCATCAAGTCTTTCTCACAATTATTCAGGTCTGTCATTATAGCATGACAATAGCCATAGATAATATATAAATGAATGGCTGTGGCTATGATCCACTGAAATGTAATTTACAAAAACAACAATGTGTGGAAAATTATTTGCTATTTATTTAGAGTAAAACTTGAAATCAGATAATGTAAGCCCTTCAACTTGATTCTTGTTTTTCATAATTGTTTTGGTTAGGCTAGTTCCTACACAGCCTCATGTAAATGATAGAAAAAGCTTATCAGTTTCTACAAAATGCCTAATGGGAGTTTTACCTTATTTGCACTGAGTTTATAGATCAATCTGGGGAAATTTGACATCTTAACAATATTTTCTTTTTCATATGTCTTCACTGATATGGGTCTTTTTTATCTCCTAAATGTTTGTATAGAGGTTTTGCCCATTTGTTAAAACTTTTCCTTAGTATGTTGAATTTTTAGTGTTTTTATAAAGTTTATGAGAATTTATTTTCCTGATGTATAATTGCTGACCTTACAGTCTGTGAGCTTTCTAACGTCCTTTATTAATCCTAGTACTTTTGTATGTAGATTCATTAGGTTATATATACATATATATATATACACACAAAATCATGTCATTTATGAAAAAAGACAGTCTTACATCTTCTTTTCTAATCTTTGTGATTTTACTTATTTACTTACTTATCACGTTGGCTTTAATTTCTAATGCAATATTGAATAGAAGTAGAAACGGTGATAGCAGGCATGCTAGCTTGATTTCTAGTGCTGAAAGGAAATAAGTTTCCAAATATTAAGTCTGATATTATTTACAAAGTTTTTATAGATGTTCTTTACTGGAGGAAGAAAATTCCATCCTATTTATAATTGCTGCAGAGTTTCTTTTTAGATCATGAATCAGTGTTGAATTTTGCCACGTTTTCTCTGAACTTAGTGATGAGATCATTTATTTTTCTTTTCTATTCAGTTAATGAGTCACGGAAATGTATTAACTGATTTTAAATTTTAAAGTGTGTTGACATTTCTGGGCTACACTCTATTTTATCGTGCTCTATTACCCTTTTAACATATTATTAATTTTTTTGTAAATATTTTATTAAAGATTTTTGTGTTTTGTTCCTGTGAAAAATAGGTGCACAGTTTTCTGTCCTTATAATATCTTTTCCTGGTTTCAGTATTAGGGTTTTTGCTGGTCTCAAGAAAAGACTTGGCTGGGTGCGGTGGCTCACGCCTGTAATCCCAGCCCTTTGGGAGGCGGAGGCGGGTGGATCACCAGAGCTCAGGAGTTCAAGACCAGCCCGGCAAACATGGTGAAACCCTGTCTCTACTAAAAATACAAAAATTTGTCGGGCGTGGTGGCACCTGCCTGTAATCCCAGCTCCTCTCGGGAGGCTGAGGCAGGAATATCACTTGAACCCAGGAGGCTGAGGTTGCAGTGAGCCGAGATGGTGCCATTGGACTCCAGCCTGAGAGACAGCGAGACTCAGTCTCAAAAAACAAAACAAACAAACAAACAAAAAAAAAAAAAAAGAAAAGGAAAAAAGAAAAGACTTCAGAATGTTGGACTCTTCATTCATTTTTTAAAGTTGTTTATATAGAATTTACAGCATTTCTTGTTTAAATTTGATAGAACTCACCAGCAGAGTCATCTGCAATTGTGAGGGATTTTTGTGTGTAAAATTTTTCATTTGGAATAATATTTCATAGTTATTGGCCTATTCATATTTACTATTTCTTCTTTTTGTCAGTTTTGTGAATTGTCTCTCTGAATGAACTTGTTCCCCTTCAACTAATTTCTAAAATGTTCATGGAAAGTTGTTCATAATATTTCCTTTTTTTTTTTTAATTCCTTTCGGATCTGTGGTGATATACCTTTTTTTTTTAATTCCAGATATTAGTCTTATTGATTTACTTAACTGTTTTTCATTTTATTGTATTTTACTCATATTTATTATTTCCTTCTTTCCAGTTTGTGCTTAATTTGCATTTCTTTTTAAAATTCGTTAAGGTTTATCCTAGATCATTAATGTTAAGGCTTTCTTCCTTTCAAATATAGGCATATAAAGCTATAAATTTCCTTCTGAACAGTTTTTTGGCTGTGCTTCAAGAATTTTGAGATATTATTGTTTTATTATTGAGTTCAAAATATTTTAGTATCTCTTGTGATTTATTACAAAAGCCGTGAATTTTTTAAAAGTATTTTAATTTCTAAATGTTGTGCGATTTCCCAAGGTATTTTTTTGTCATTGATATGAAAATCTAATGTGATTCTGTTGTTGTCATAGAACATACAGTAAATGACATTAGTTTTCATAAATTATTAAGACTCATTGAATATCCTTGCACATGGTTTATTAGGTTATTTTAGTAAATATTCCATGTGTATTGTATTCAGCTGTTTCTGGGTGTAGTGTTCTATAAATATTCATTAAGTTACTTAGCTTGTAGATTTATTCACATCTTCAATATCCTTCTTGATTTTTTTTGGTCTACTTGATTCATCAACTGCTGAGAGATAGTTGTTAAAATTCCAATTTACATTGTGGATTTTTCTCTGTTTTTCCCTTTGGATAGGTAAGTTTTTGCTTCATTTATTTTAAAGGTCTGTAATTAGTTGCATATACATTTCATACTATGACTTTTTGATGTATTGATGTTTTTGTCATTGTGACAGTCCATCTTTATATTTAGAGATGTTCCTTATGTAGAAGTCTAATTTGTCAGTTTTTAATGTAATCATTCTAGTTTTCCTATTTTTAGTATTAGGATATTTTTTTCATTCTTTCATACCTGTGTGTATCATTATATTTAAAATGCCTCTCTTATGAAGGGCAAATAAATGAGTCTTCCTTTCTTGTCCAGTTTGACAATCTCTGTCTGATAAATGGAATATCTATTTCATTACATTTTACTTTTTTTTTTTTTTTTTTGAGAAGGAATTTCGCTCTTGTTGCCCTGGTGGGAGTGCAATGGCGCGATCTCAGCTCACTGCAACCTCTGCCTCCCAGGTTCAAGGGATTCTTCTGCTCTCAGTCTCCCGAGTAGCTGGGATTGCAGGCATGCACCACCATGCCCGGCTAACTTTGTATTTTTAGTAGAGACGAGGTTTCTCCAAGTTGGTCAGGCTGTTCTCAAACTCCCAACCTCAGGTGATCTGCCCGCCTCAGCCTCCCAATACATTTTACTTTTAATGTGATTAATTATCTATTTGGAAGTTTAAACCAACCTTATTACTATTTCTTTTCCATTTGTCCTAAGTGTCTTTTGTTCCTCTTTTTTATTCTTTTCTGCCATGCTTATTGAAGATCTTTTAGTTACCAATTTTTCTGCTCTTTTTCAATTCTAGAATTTCTACTTGATTTTTAAAAATAGTTTCTATATCTCTGCTGAGATTTCCCATCTGTTATCTTATTATACACATCCTTTTCCCTTGAATACATAAAAATATGTATAAAAACTCTTTTAAAGTCTTTATCTAAGAATACCAAAATTTCTGGAAAAAAAAAAACAATAACAACAATCGCCTCTTGATCTTCTTTCACCAACTATTTTCTTTCCCATTTATCAGTCTCATTTTCTTGCTGCTTCTAGTCTAGGAGTTCCTTTAATGTTTTTCATCTTCTGTCTTGTTGGAAGTCCAGTGTCTGCAAATACTGTATGACCTGTGTAATTCCCAGTCAGCTCACACATCTCCAGAAATTGTTTTCTACAAGGCCTTAGAAAGTTTTCACCTGTTCAACCACAGCTTAGTATTTGGCCATGTCTCAATGAAAAAACCTTATGGAGATTTCTGTAGTTTCTTCTCTGTGCAACTCCCTCCTCTCCAGTATCCTACCCAGTAGTTTGCTTTACAAATTTCGGCTACTTCATCAGCCTCCAAATCTTAATCTTTTTTCTTCCTAGCCAAGGTATTGCTCCCTGTTGAAGGTATAATTTCCTTTGCTGTGCTTTAGGCACTGATCCCAGGCAGGAAGTCGTGGTGTTTACGAACCTCAATTTCCCATGTTTCTTTCCTCTAAAGATCACAGCCCTGGGCTGTCTGATGTTCAATACTTAAACACAATTGATTCATATATTTCATACAGTTTGATTGACTGTTTAAAGTAGGCAGTAGAGAGAGAAGAAACATGAGGTGTGGCAACATGTCTGATTCTCATACTCCTCATAGTCAGAACCAGAAGTTAGAAATATGTTTTCATCTCGTATTGCTCATCCAAGATAACATTAGATTTGTAGATTAGCCCAATTCTTGCAGACAAATGTATGTGTTTTGTATCTATTCTAATAAATAATGCATTTCTTTTATGAGTATATTAAATAATGAAAGTACTGATATTTTAATTAATCTATTTTTATCATAATTTATACTGGAATATAGCTAAGTCTATAGTATAGTGAAGTTCATTGTATCAAATCAACTTTATTTTTTCACCCTGTTTTATATTTTAATTTAGATCATGATTTCCCCATCAACATAATGAAGGTACATTTAGGTTTTCCTAACGTTATGAAAATGTAGAAAAATTATTATAAATTATATAATGCATAAAGTATGTTATGTAAGATAATATAACATTTTTACCTTAAATATATAAAATTTTTATATACCATATAAGAATAAATATAAAATAAATTCATGAAGTAATTATAATTTAAAATGTGTAAAGTAATTTATATTATATTTACTTTACATATTTTACATTTATTTTATATGTATATATAAAATAATTTTAATAATGAAATGTTTATTAAGATATTTTATATTTTAGGTTATTTAACTTATATTTTAGGTTATTAGGTTATATTTCATATTAGGTTATAGTTTATATTTTTAGGTTATTTAACTTATATTTAGGTTATTTAATTTATATTTTAGGTTATTTAACTTATCTGGTTTTCTTTTGCTTGTAGATAAGAATAACAAGAGAAAACCTATATTTAAATGCAGACACAAACACAATACACCTAAAAGATAATCGGGTTCAATGTCAAACAAATTTTGCCAAATTATCCTTGGAAAATACATTAGGAATATCTGTGCAATATTGAAAAACTGTGGTAGTAAGCTAAGCCCCAGCACTTAAGTTAGTGGGTCTCTGAATCTGTGCCAATAACATTGAAAAATGAAAGCATAATTAGGTCACTATCTTTTAAACTGTCAAAAGGGAAATAGCATAGTAGCATAGTTAACAACTTCAAAAATAAAGCACTCAAAAGAATACTGCTATATAAAATAGATAATGGAAAAATCACAACTCTCTGTTGAAAGGTAATTAATTCCACCTTGCTAAAGGCAAATTATTTTCTCATCCTTTGAATACTACCCACAGCACTTTTTTTTTTAACAAAGACTTGTCACAAAGCATATTTTTTAAAAAGAAGTTCAGACTTCTTTTAGAAGGCAAATCTCATACATGCGCGTAGCTCTTTGTGATTTTTTTCTTGATTTCTAGATAGTTTTATAATTTATTCAGTGAGTTTATAATGAATGTTTTTACAGGGCCACTTATTCAGGACCTTTTCAGATGTTACACTAGTGCTGGAAGTTTATTATTTAAAACATTCTGTAACTAGATGATACATGCCCATTTAAAAATACACATGGACACAGGAAGGGGAACATCACACTCTGGGGACTGTTGTGGGGTGGGAGGAGGGGGGAGGGATAGCATTGGGAGATATGCTTAATGCTAGATGACGAGTTAGTGGGTGCAGTGCACTAGCATGGAACATGTATACATTTGTAACTAACCTGCACAATGTGCACATGTACCCTAAAACTTAAAGTATAATAATAAAAGAAAAAAAAATCAAGAAACATTTGATTAAGTTAACAATTTGAGTTTAAAACATTTGGGGGAAATTTTGACATTGCCTGTTATGTTTGGAAACATCTTTCAGTGGCATAAAATCTGAAATGGAATTCACTTATCAATAATCTCCCTGCAATGAAATGGATTTTTACTTTCACAAAGAAAAAATATTTTACATATGGGTCTATAATCATTGCAGACATAAGAAAGATTCATGCTAGTAGTTTAGACATTACTTGAAAAGGGATTATAAAGTGAGAGAAGGGAAAGGAAAACACAACAAGGACAACAGAAATGAGAAAGAAGCCAGCCAAAAAATCTATTAACCAATTCCCTGTTACAGATTACACAAAATAATAGGCACTTAATATACATTTTATCCTGGTAACAATCAAATGGAGGCCCATTTACCAGAACCCTAAGGAAGGCTGTGTTCTTTGCATTACTCTATATTGACTTCAGGGTCATCCACTCCAGCCATCTGTTTTATATGTGGGTGGAAAAAAAAGCAAAGAATGAAAAAAGGAGAAAAAAAGCCAACCAACCAACCAAACTCATAAAACCAAATCTGAGTCTCAGAAAGATGGAGGTACTTAGTTTACTTAATTAAGGACACACAGTAAGTAGTAGTCTGAATATTCAGCCTTGGATATCCATATCCTCAGTGCCATTCTCTGTAGTGGACTCGGGAACATTATCCTCAGGGTGATAAAAATTATCTTAGTAAATGAACTAAGAGAAAACCAACATATTCAATTATTTTTAAAGCTAAAATTCTGCACTCATAGAATTCATGGAACTTACATCCTGAGGACTTTGAACCACTTGGCTTGTTTTATTGTTTTTGAATGACTTCTTTTTTTCATTGCTCTCCTAGCCAGTGGGCTTGGTATTTGAACCATGAAATCAATTTTCCTCATCTTAGAGTGTGAAGGGCTACAAGATATAGTACTTTCTCTAAAAAAAAATTATTAATAGAGACAAGCAAGGCAATTTAGGAAGCATTCATGTTCACCATGCTTTGCACTGCCCCCTGCCACCACTGCCTTATGCATCCTCCTAGAATGATGACAGAACGCTTGACCTTTCCATGCTTTTATTTTATCCAGTCTATCCAGTGGGGATTGTGATAAATTACTTGAAAATGTTTCCCTGGATAGTTCTTATATTAGAAGAACAATTATTTTTGTTGTATTTTAGTTTTGTTTAGTTGGTTGTTTTAAAAATACTGCATGGCCATTAACAAGTATGGTATTGGTGATATCCAGAGGTTCTGAAATTCCATCATTTGGAGATAGTTACACTGCATACACTTGACTAATTTCAACTGCCTATTGAAATCTTAAACCGTTGGGTGTTTAGGAGGAAGTCCATGAACTTTCACAGCTGACAAGGGCCTATGGAAGTTAGCTAGTCTTTATGTTAGAGATGAATAAATGGACCCCAATAAGGAGAATTATTTGCTTAAAGTCATTTTGACTCCCAGTTTGCTGTTCCCATGTTTGCTACTTATTATTGCTCATAATTTGAGCCACAATAAGTGGGGCATGGTTTCTCTCTCAAATAAGAGAGAGAAATAATACTTATTTTTCTATTTTGAATTATATTTTGTTGGGGTGATCAGCCCCAACACCTGGCAGTGGGGGCTACGAAGTCCGGCAGAGTCAAAGGAATGAGACAAGACAAGTGAAGAGTGCATAAAGTGGGTCCAGGGGGCCAATGCTAGTATGGAGGCTGTGAAGGCCCGAGCTCTGGAAGCCCACACTATTTATTGGTGATCAAACAAAGAAGCAGGTGGTAAGGATGTGTGGATGTGGGGGTAAACATTCGAGGATGTGAGGACGTGAGGACGTGGGGGTAGAAAGGTAGCAGAGCATCAAGCGTAGCTGTGACGGTTTAGCATTTTATTTGATGCATATGTAATATGCTCTACTGCTTAAGATAATGGAGAACATGTTTATGAGCCTGGGAGAGCAAGAAGCAAGGAACCAACAAGTCTGTGCACATTCCAGAAGCCACGAGGGCTTTTATGCCCTGAGCCTTGGATTCCATTCAAGCCACAAGGGGTTTTATGCCTGGGCTTATATTGTGGTGTGTCAGGGCAGACTTCCACCCTTTGGCACAGAGCCTTGTGTTCCAAAGGCCATGAGGGAGTTTGGACCCTGGACCCAGATCATGTTCCAAGACTCTTTTACATTATGACAGACAAGCCAGTCCTGCCTCAGCTCTTCTACCAACATTTTAAAAATACAGTGATTGATAAGGTAGTATTGAAGAAAATGATGAATGCATAGGCTTTGAAAAGGGGTACCTGCAAGAAGAATTTAGTAGGTTATCATTCTTGATTTGGTGAGTGCAACTTCATGGACAGCTGTTCAACCAAAATACGGGGTCATTTCAGCTCCAGCATCTCAAAGCCAATAGATACAGAATAGAAATGCATTATGCCATTTTAAGTATAGCTAAAAAAAAAAAACTAAAGATTTTGACTCTGTCTCAACTTTTCATTAACGAAAGAGTGGTGGTTCATCAAAAATATCCAGGAGAGTTAATGTGAAGCATTACGTGACACATACACTTTTTGTTATTTGAATACTTATAAGGACCCAATATGATTTATTTTAAGACATCCATGTCAGTCCCCTTTCTCTTTTTATATTTGTTTCACATAGGTCTGAAACATGACTCAAAGATCCATGGAAAGCCTTCTAAATTTCATGCAATAAAGTATTATTTTTATGGCTGCATTATGTGTTAGCTTTTCAACAAAAATTATGGGTGAAGCTATGTTTACTCTATTTCTTAATGTTGAGTATTTCAGAATGTTTCTCAAAGAAACATTTCACTCTCTTTTAGTTTTAAAATAATTTTGCATTTGAGTTAAAAACCCCAAATAAGGGAAATTTTTACTCAAAGAGATAGACAAGTGACAGCTGCACTCCAAGAGCAAAGTCAGAGTCACCAGAGGCTTCTTTAGTCCAGCTGGGTTTGAGGGCAGGCCAGCATCCTAGCTGAAGATGAAATGAATGCCCCAAGGCCTCTCTGTCTCCTTTACCACTCACCTTGAAAGGCTGTAATAGAACTTAGCTTGTGTAATGTTCTAGAGGGCAGAGTGGACAAGTAGCTAAGGGATCTTGTGAAGAGAATGATGTTGGTATTATTGTCTTGATTGTGCTGTCTCATAGTCTAGGCTTTGCAGGTGTTCATCAGCATCACATACTGACTGAACTCAGCCTTGGGAGATTCTAGTCTTTGTTACTAAATAAAACACACACACACACACACACACACACACATATACACACACTCACACACACAAAGTCCAAAATGGCAATGCATTTAAAACTTGAGTCCCCATGGGATCTCATGATTATACTCTCCTGAGTTCAGATTAGTTTCCAGCTATGAGATAGAACACTTTAGCAATCCTCATGCCATAGGCTCAATGGTGCTTTCTTCCTGAGAAGTGCTAATGTCCATCACCACACCTGGGGCTGTGTCCTTCAGATTCAGTCCTGTAGCAAGCCTTAAAGATCAGGGTTTGGGAGAGGTTTGCCAGATGTTAAGAGAACTGTTTCTAAGGGACACTGCTGCCTTATGGACTTAAAGAAGTTATGCAATCATGTTGGGATCACCTGTGAGTTTCAACAATATATTCTTGATCTAAAGCATAATGCAAGAGCTCCCATAGAACTTATCTTGGGAGGTTCAATAACTTTGAACTCAGTTTTTAAACATTTCATACCTAAAATACAAAACTTCTAACATGAGGATGAGGGATGTCTCCCCTTAAATGTTGGATGTTACTGAATTCTGTACTTTGTGAATGGAAAAATACCCAAAGGCATCTGAGGATCATGAGTTTGATGGGAAATACAGCCTTATTATAAGCAGTTTTAGTAAATTTGATATGGGTGTATACATATATATGATTAAACTATTCTTGGATAAAATATTTTGCCAAGGGCATAAAGATGTAATATTTAAGAATGCACCTTGCAGAGTTATCAATATTAGTTGAAAAAAATGTTACAAAGAAAAATATCACATTATCCAGTACAAGAGTATTGGTGGTGTCTAAAACTGAAGTAACTACTCTGCAGATGTTAAAATTATGATGTCGAATATACCTAAGATACGTTTTAAATTTTAAAAATAAAATATCACATTTAGTAAGGTCATAAAATGCTCATATTGCTCTTCTGTATGGATATATGACAGCCACTAACAGTGGTTATTTCTAGGTTGTAGATTAGGCTTATTTTCTTTTTTTTTTCTGACTTCCAGTTTTTCTACAATTACTATGGATTCTTTTTTCTTTTTTCTCTTTTTTAATTTGACAGATAACTATATATTTATCATGTATAACATAATATTTCAAGGTACATATATGTTGTTAAATAACTAGCTGATTATTTTTCTAAGAAAATCAATAAACCGCATTTTAATTTTGAGAAAATAATCTTAACTAGAGACTAAATAAATTAAAAAATGAATCAAAATAATGTGTAGCTACTATCTACTTGTTTAGACATTTTGAATGATTGATTTACTTAATCCTAACAATCCTCTAAGGAGGTATTATGATCACATCTTATGGGTAGGAAAAAAGAGCTGGGGAGGTTGCATAATTAGTTCAAAGTCAAATCACACAGCTAGTAAGGAATAGAATCAGGGATCACTCCCAGGTTTCTCTGAGTTTTCTTCCTGTGCCACATTGCAGTTTGGTGGCCCGTTCCCAGTGGCTTAACAGCCTCAGAAAGCGGAGATGGTATGTTCTTGTCACCATTGCTAGTAGACCTCCTTAACACCTCCACCTTCCCGTGTGGGTTATAGCAACATTCCTGACTTCTCATAAGTCCAGTGGGGATGCAAATGTGAAGTTCTACTTGATTACAGAATGTATAATATGAAGGTTTGCAGTAGTAGATCAAAGGAAGCATGCCAGCTTATCTGCTTCAGTTTATTTTAATTTTCCAACTCATTATAGAAGATATAAGGATAGGGAACTACAAAATCCCTTTCTTGTGTGCTGCCACCTCATGAGGAAGTCTCACACAGCCCCTATTTTGCAGTAGTACATCTCCTTTTGGAGTTGCCCCTGACTTTATCTCTGGTTCAGCTAATAACATGCTTGAAAACCTACAAATACTAGCAAAGAAATCTTCCATTTATGGCCACAATTTTAATTATTGAGCCTTGAATGCCATTCACCTTCTGGAGTATAGAATACACTATTTTGAGTTGTTAACATTTAATTTCTCAGGGATACCTTGATATAGTGAACTATCAGGATAATTTGGGGCAAACGTTTTCAAATTTCTTTATTAGAAAAAAATCATTAAAAAAATTCATTAAAATCAGTGAAATAGAAGGATTTTTTCATAAGGTCTAATGGCATTAAACCATTCACTTGTTTTCAAATTATTTTGCTATGTTAATCAGTTTTTTCTTTCTTCTATAGTATTTTGCCATAGAATAATCATTGATTTTTTGTATATTATTGTTATATTTATTTTTGAACAAACTTAGGTTTCAAATAACTAGATATTATAAATAATAGATAACACTCCTGAGTATTAAGGTAGGACTTATTCAAGGAAAGTTTCTTTACAATAACAGTGTTCAGATGATCTGACATTTACCATATAGAAATGGAATAATACTTGTGAATAAACTTTTAAGTGTTCAAAATATGAAGATTATAACTTTGGGAATAGCTGGATGTTAATTTGTGACTAAGCATCATGTGATCTTTGGTATTAACTAAAAACAATCACAACAGCAACCACTTTAAATAAGGAATCTTTTGTAATTCAATTAGAATTTCAAATGTCAAAGTACTAGGAAAGATGAGTTAAAAGCCTGAAAACAATCAAAATACTTTATATAGGCTTATATTTTAAATTTTTACTACTTATATAGAGAGAATTTCTGAGTAATAGCATATACTGTCTTGGAGGAAGCATTATGACAAATGTTGATGAAATGCTTCCTTACTGATCTGAACTTTCCTTAAATACAATTAAAAACATCAAAGACACCAGGTGGCATTTAAAGTTTGAAAATGTTCAGTATTCCCTTGTGAACATTATTTGCTGCCTGGAGAAACATCAAGTAAATTATATAGTGCAAAATATGGACTCACTTAAGAAAACCCTTCACATTTAATACTTCTCCACTTAGAAAAGTAAACTTACTTTTTATACTTTGGAAGATTCTGGAAATGTTTTCAGTTGTCAGTAATTGTACACACACACACACACACACACACACACACACACACACGCATACCTAACAGTAAATATATTCCCACTGCCTTTTAAATTGTGAGTGTAAATGTGTTTCTAACCATAAGTCAACTTACTTAGACAGTATACAGTAAAACAACCATGATTTACATATTGGAGCTAGGACAGCAGGAGAAAAATAAAGTCAACTCTCATGGTCTCTTCTCATCTATTACGTAATCCAGTAAGCATTCTTAAATTCTTCTTTTTGTGTCATCAAGTGTAGACAGTCAATAGCATACTACAATCTAATAACTCATATAATGTTTTTGGGTATCTTTCTAAATAGATTACAAGCTCTAATAATCTAGTTGAAAGAAAGGAATGTTTATCCAATCTTGTCACTACTATAGTACCTACAATGCTTGGCTGCTATAAGCATTTAAGTTTGTGATATTTTTAGAGATTATGTTTTATGGTAACTGTAGATATATATTTAGCAGTGTGTTTTGAGAAAGATGTACCATATTAAATAGGATTTTTAAATTTTGGTTTTTAATTGACAAAAATTGTATGTATTTGTTGCAAAATATGTATACATTGTGGAATATGTACACATTGTGGAATCACTAAATCAAGCTACTTAACATATGTAATTACTTCACATCAAGTAAGAGTTTTATAAACCTAGAATGCTTCAACATTAGCAAATGCATTAGGATAATTCACTATATGAATAGATTAAAGGCAAAAAATATAATATAATTTCCTTAGATTCTAAAAAGATAGTCCATGAAGTTGGTCAGATACTTCTATCAAATTGGTAGTTTTCCTCTGTACCAGCAACAATCCATTACAATGTGATGGAAACATACCCTGAAATATGCATAGTTATTTGTGGAAGGAAGAGCAAAACTAAACCTGCATAATTTTTAAAATATACACTTTCTTACTTTGTTGGAATCAATGGTATAAAGACAGCAGTTTTTCCAGATTGATCTGAAAACACATTGGAATTTTCATCAAAATTTCAATGAGAATTTTTTTTAAACAGAATCTCTCATCTCGAAGAGTAAATTTGTAAATTAAGTAGCTCAGTGAAACCTAGCATATAAAAAGGTGACATTTCAAACCAATGGGGAAATAATGAAATAACTATAATGATTAGTAGCTACATGGCAAAACTTATAATTAATAAATTAGAAGATTTTTCTCTCATACTTATTTTCCAGAATTGTTGCGGGGGGTTGGAGGTGGGGACACATAGAACAAAATGTAATTATCTACAATATCTAAGCATCTCATTTGTATCAATAAGGAAAAAATGGAAAAATGAGAAGAGGCATTGTGAAATGTTCCTCAGCTTCAGTCAAAATTAAGGGAATTATAAATTAGAATAATAAAGAGGTACCACCTTATTTTTGGAAGACATTCAAATATTATTTGTATTCTAAACAATTCAAAACTTTTTGTTTGCCATTTAATAGTATGTATCAAAATTAAAAATTCATATATCACTTGGTGCAGCTTACTTTCACTTAACACAATCTTTCTTTTAGCAATCTATCATTCAGAAATGCTGGCATTAGTGCAAAAATATATATTTGCAATGATATTTGTTCTAGCATTATTTGTAACAAGAAGATTGAAAAAACATAAAATCTGTCAATGGGAGAAGAAATGTATATACTTTTGTAAGCCAATAAAATAGAATACGAGGTAGAAATAAAAAGAGTAAAGTAAACTCACATGTACTCATTTGAAAGATGTCTGAGATCTATCATAGAGTGAAAATGCCTGTGGAGCTAAACATGTGCAGGACGATCCCGTTTGACTCATACCAGACTGTTTTACGGTGGGTACCTTTTGTGGTGTAGATGTAAAACTGGTAACAAAGGAGCATTTCCTTTTTACGTTGTATACTTCATTATTAGAATTTATGACCAAATATGTCTTTGTTACTATTTAAATTACAACTAACATACATCTGTGTAGTGTGGGTAAAAAGCACACACACACACACACACACACAAATTACAACAAAGAAATTCCAAAGGAAAACAATAAAGAAATGCAAAGTCATTAGACCCTGGTAGCCGTGTGACGTGTTTAACACGGCTTAGTTTAACAGTCTTCCTTGGGTTTCAAGGAAATGGGATGATTAGCAAGAAGAACTTTTAAGGCCTGCATTAATTCAGGCATAGACGATCACTTATCAAGTAGGGAATAGAATAATGAGAAGGGACTAGATTCTGTAGCTATTTAGAGGGCAGATTCAATGTGATTAGATAAAGAGAAGAGACGAAGAAGCACAAACGATAACGTCCAATGATAAAACATGGAGGATTATTTTTTAATTACTAAATTAAGACCCTCTGCTTGGATTATAGGCATGATGAAAGGTATTTTATGAGTCAATTTTAAGAAAAGTTCTGGAATCCTAATGATATTTACTTTCTGAGATCTTACAGTAAAGGCATAAGTTCTTATTTAAAAAGCAAGATTGAAATATGGACTTTAATCAGATAGAATTCACAAACCTACTATACTTTTTTTTCAGTAATGGGTACATTAACTTAGTTATTAATCTGTTTTTGCATCTGAGTTACAGGGAGTCACCCTCCATAGCACATTCTTTTCATTACTGAGCAGTTCACATGATGCTATTAAGGTTATCAAGACTTGACAGATATGTCACTGCCTCTTGTTACTCATTTTGGTTCTGTTCATGAGGCTGAATGCATATCGAAAGATAAAACAGATGCTCCTTTGTAGACAGAATGCAGTGTGTTTGCAATTCAGAATGCCATTTTACTTAATTTGCTCTAAGACATAATCTCCAGTAAAATATGGAATAGAGTTCTCAAGCTGAGAATTTTCTAGGCGTACCTCTCTTACCTTTATAATTAAGAGCTGGAAGACCAGTCATCCTTCTTGGTTTTGAAGGTTCTGAATGGGGTGCTTCCCACTATACCCTCAGGCAAACACCTCCCCAAATGAATAAAACAATCATTGCAGTATTGATGGGGCCTTAAAAAGGATTCCAAATGACATCTCCACAAGCCTTTCTTCTGGTTTGGAACCAGTACCGTTCTTATCAGATGATCAAATAATTGCTTTTCTGTAATTATTCTAATAGTTTAATTTGCATAATTCCCATAAATTGTATTTGCATCTGAGAAGTTTTAAATCGAGAACATGAACTAATGAACTATAAATAAATACATTTCTTTCTTAAGGAACGCTAACTAATGGTAAGTGCCATTAAGTCATGAGCCATTGACTTAAATCTCATAGGATCAAACTTTGGTATTCCAACTCCTCATTCAGTTTTTACCTTTATTATATATATAGCAACAATTTTTTACTATAAATAATTTGCTGGAACTCATGCATCATACATAGGAAACTTGTTTTCTTTTATTATTACTATTTTTCTGACCTTTTTGTGAATTACAAGACCCACAGTTATGTCATTTTAAAAATCAATTTTGCTGTCATGGGCATATTTGGTAAGTATTAGTTTAATTTTATAATGCTGGCTTTATCTACTCCCAAAAAGCACTTCCCTTTTATGCAGAAAGTTTTACAAACAAGGAAGGGACCGATGGCATTGTGATAGCATTAAGAACCCTCCCAGAACAGTAATTGGATACTAGAGTGAGGAAGCAAATCTCTCAATTGGCATTAACCTGACGGTTATTTGGAGACAGACCCAGAGGAAAGAACTTTTTAGAAACAACTTAATAACAATAAGCACGTGAGAAAGGATATCTTGCTCTTGAAGCATAGTTTGAGAGAATGTTTTGAAGAAAATGTTCACCAGGAGGCACTTACGTGTTTTTATTAACTCCTTATCAAAATTTAATGTGAGTTTACTGTGTGACAAGTACTATATAAGGCTTTGAAATTTCTATCAAGTTACTCACTAATTTTAGACCCATGTTTCCTCTTCTGTAAAACTGAGATGAGTTTAACAGTCTTAGAGTTTATGGGCTGGGTAGACAGTAATGATTCTGGATGCTTATGAGCACTTCTGCTGTGCTGGGCAGTACACTAAATGCTTAATGACTTATAATATCTCAATTAAGCCTCATAAGGGTTCAATCTGGCAGAGTTTTTCATCCTTATTTTATAATTGATGAAAAGGCTTTAGGAGGTGCCTATGTGACTTGAGTTCACATTGGTGATAAACTGTAAACCACCCTTGTGAACCATGTGTTCACAAGGCTCTGACCAGGCTCTAACCCTGAATTCTCAACTGGTACTCTCAAATGTTTATGACTTCTTTGGACATTTTTTTATTGTGGAGATTTATGTTTATTCTATCTCTCAAAATGCTGGACATACAGTTTATATTTTTAAAAATTGTTTTTAGACATGGCATGTGTAACACAAAACGAGATAATTAATTTGTGAAATTGTTAAGGCTCCTAGCCAGAGACAGTAAGTATAGGTAAGTGGCATAAATGGTTTATCACTAAACACATTTACAGCTGAGACAATATTTTTGCTGAAAACATTTATATGTAGGGCAGATTTTTTTTTCTCTGAAGTCTAGTGATCAGCTTCTATGCTTACAGCACAAACATTGGATTTTCTGACTTAACTACAGAAATCATTTTCCGTATCCCCTGATCCACAATTTATAATTTGAAACCCATTGGTATGCTTTAGGGAAACATTTGATTTAACTTTGGATTTAAGTTTATAAAACAGTGCAATCTCATAAAGAGAAGGAGCTTGTATTCTTATATTCAAGTGGTGACTAAAATAAGCCTAAAGCTATTAGGCTTAATGTAAGTAGTGACTTTTGATAAGCCTAAGGCTAAACATTTTTGGGTAGCATTTTTTCTTTGCTTCTCAAAGAACAGCTTCTTGACTAAATATTCCCTCAATGCAGTTCATTTAACTTGCTGTGCAGAAAAAGACCTACATGGCAGCTGAAATATTGCTTGAGCTTATGACCTGATATACCTTTATCAATGTAGCCTGTCTCAGTAATTTCACTGAGATGCTAAGCTAGTGAAGACTTCAGCTCCTTAGTCAAACCACCTGAGTTTGAGTTTAGATCCTCTCATTTCCTACCAGTGTGACCTTAACAAATTTATCTACTCTGTTTGTCTTTTGTTTTCCTCATACATAAGAAAGAAAGATGATGGTAATGTCTATCTGATAACATTACTCGTGAAGATTAAATTAAGTGATACAATTTATGTAAATTGCTTGGCACAGACTGCGAGCTAAATCAATGTTACCCATTATTATCTGCCTCATTTATGTTGCTTGCCTTTTTTCATGGGCTACTAAGAAAAAGCTGTATACATAAATATAAGGGTCATTCTATCTTCTACTGTGCTCATATTACTACAAAATAAACAGTTTAAGCAAAAACTAGGCTGATCTTCTCTGTAGGGAAGAAACTGATTAGAAAATCTATTACTTATGGCTTTGTTACTCACAAGCCATCCATTCTCAGCACTAATAGTCTATTTGTTTGAAGAATGGCAGCGGTTTCATTAGATTTCATAGTTTCAACCATCAGATGATGATCAGCTTAAATTTCAGCATGTCTTGCATTTCTTTCGAAAGCATCTCTCATCTCTAATAACATGTTTATCTCTTGACACAAACTCAAAGTATAGTCACTTAACATAATGTAAAAAATCATGATCTTTGCAACATAACCATGAACACATTTTTGGTTCATGAGCTTGCTAACTATTTTTTCCTAGCTAGGAATGACACCAATTGCTTGCTGTATAGCCATGACATTTGTGTATACCTTTTGTAAATATTTTTTTTCTCAGAAAGGAACCACATAACATTAGTAACAAAGAAACAGATAAACATATTTTGCTTTAGTCTGGAAAGGATCTTTCTTGGTGTAGTGACTATTGAATGGATTATATGAGAATTTAGAAGAGAAATTAATTTTAGCACTGGGGATAATAAAAATATAACTGCAATGTGCAAAAATCAGCCATTTTTATAACTGGGAGATTTCTTTAAAACATTCTGTAATCAAAAGCCAATAATCATAAAGTAGTTAGAGGCAATATCTTTTTTCTCAGCCTAGAGGTTTCATAAGTATCTTTCTAGCTGTAAAAACATATTTATACAATCATATTTCACCAAAACTACATGTTAAAGTGAGGTAATGATCCATAGGTAAAGAAGACTAAAGACCACAGTGAGAGAAATAGCATATCCTTCCTCCAGAGGCTAAGGAACAAGGTTTACTGGCCCCAAAACATACTCCTAGGACTAAACCTAAATGTCCATATCAGTATGTGACTGGTAGGGCCTCTTGAAGTGATTGGAGTCTTAAGTTCCTTTTAGAAGGAAGTGGAAAAAAAAAAAAAAAACTAAAAGCAAAACTCCAATCCACTTGTGTCAAGCCAAATTTTTCTATTCCATTCTCTCTAGGGTCCTCCACTTTTCATCCAAATCATTTTGACCCTTGAAGCAGTAATCCTACTAAAAGACAAAGCCATAGAGGAGGAACAATGATTGATTTGTTTATCCCATTCACCTGATCAATTATTCTTGTGAAGGAAGGTATATAAAAAAGTGTTCATCTGTATTTTAATAGAGATGGACAAACTCTGTTCTCTTGTAGTTCTTAAGGGATGTTTAGCCTATGACACTGGATCATCTGGGATCAGTCAATAGCTTTTCAGTGTTAGGAACTGCCAAACTCTTCTTCGAACTCATGGGTAGTAAAAGTACAAATTGTAAGAATTTAGGAGCACAGCAGTGGGAGAGTTCTCTTTAACCATTTGTAATTCCTGTAACTCCAGCTACCATTTATCCAGTGTTTACTATATATTAGGTCCTAGAGAAAGAGCTTTTTACATGTTATTTTGTTTAGTCTTCACAACTACTCTGGAAATTGGGCATTAATGTTACTATTTTACAGATGAGAAAACTGACAGAAAGGATAAATAAGCAGGCCAAATTCATACAAATGAAACAGGAGCAGAACCAGGACTGGGTTCCAAACCCATGCATGGGCTTGATAGGAAGTACTGTCCTCACATTTAACAACCTTTCTAAAACCTTTTCTGTTTGACTCCATATGCCAAAAATGAATTTGAGTGTTTCCCTTTCATTCAAGTTCCATAGTTTTCAACCCAAATAGTAGTATGTTTACAATTGATCATGCATGGCATTTTTCACGGAAGCATTCAATAAGAGTGTGGGCAATGGGAATGACAATGACTGTCCCTCAAATCTCTCTTATTACCTGCTCCAGTCCAATTTGTACCACTTTACCACTTTGGGAAAAGTATTGAAGGTCTCTGTGATCATTCATCTAGGATTGTTTTATATATATCAATGAAAGTGCTATAATGAGCTAAAAAATACCAAAACGTAGAATGATTTTCCTGATTGGCTTGTCACCGCACAAAAGAGCAAGGAACAAAAGATGAGTAGTTTTTACCAGAAAATATTGGGAAAAGAACATTTTCAGTATCTGTGTTTTCACAAAGGCAGGCAGACCTAGAAAGAATATCAATTCTTTGTTCTTCTGGGCAGCATGAAGACAAGCTATGGAATAAGGAACTTGTAATTTACTTGAAATTTGCCTAGGAACTCCCTAGTCTTGTTGCTAAATTGAAGACTTAATTTCAGCCTTTCTCCTGTTAGATTTGGTAAAGATTCTTTCTCTACCTGACTTCAGAGGATATCAAAAAGCTAGTGGCACATGAGCTATGTTCAATGATGTCCAAAATTCTTTGTCTGAGGTAGTTCATCACAATGACCTTTCTGGCATTTGGAAAACAGAAGAGTGCCAGTGTTGAGCTGAAGCCTCTCTGAAATGAGTATTTATTATCTCCAGCCATGGAGGAGGAGACTTAGGAGGATAGAACTGAATGGGAGGGAAAAGCATATCTGTCTTTTTCAGAGTGGCACAAAGAAAGTCACCGAGATGATGAATAAATTTATGCATGACATGGCTCACTTCACATGCCACACACTGATGCACTTCAAATCGATGTGCCATCCTTCCAGACTAACCTGTTGTGTGCCCAGGCTGAGATGGTATGCCTGGAAGAACCAGGCTGGGGCATATCATAGACGGGATCAGAACATTTTTCAGTGATATATGTAAGAGATTAAAATGCAATCCATCATTGTTGACAACGTGCCTTACAGTGCGCATTTTCCAGGAATTTAGAGTCAATGGGCAAGATGTTTACTTCCAGAGGCTGCTCATTTGTGGTAGATGAAATGTACAGACCAAACTCTGTGAACTCTAGGGGCAGGAATGCTGTCTTATTAATTTTATGGTGCTTATTTCCAAACAAGTGATCTGGTACAGGGTGGATGTTTGAGAAATATTTGTGTAGCTGAAGAGGAAGACCCTTTGCCTTTTTTATTTCTCTGCTAATCCTTTCTATTCTTCAAAGTTCAGTGTAGACCCATCTGTCTGTGACTACCGTAACCATAAGTATACATTCAATGTATTACAGTTTACTTAAATGGCCAGTGGCAGAAACAGAACACAAATAGGCATAAGCAAAGAGGGAACGTATTGTCCCAGTCCCAGTAATTAAAATAACAAGGGGTTATTTTGGTCTAGAGTATGACTGAGACTAGGTGCTCAAGCAATACCATCAAGAACCAACCATTTTCCATCTTTTGGCTGTACTTTCCTTTTTGTTGCCTTCATTCCCAGGCAGGTGCTTTCCTAATGCACCCCCACACCCACTGCAACACCCCACAAATCACTCTGCCCTGGAAAGTTCCAGGGTGTAAAGGAAAACAGATTATTTTTTTCCAAATTGCTACAATAGGAGTTGCAGAATTGAGTCTCACTGACCATTGACCTAGCTTGAATCACATGGCAATCTATGAACTAGGAGGATGAAATAATCTAAGCAGTTGTTATCTCTCATGAACACCTTAGAAGGGGTAGGTCAGTACCATCTGAATGACATGAACATGGAGTGGGAGAGGGCTGATTTTCGAAGGGAATTATTGGTTTGCTATGGCTACAAATGGATGCTTTTGGACAGGTACTATAAAATGAATTGACATTGTATAACTGGAAGACCTGTTTATTCAGTAGAGGTCAGGGCAGAGTTTCTATGAAAAGAAAGCTATGTATGCCTTAAAAAGAATGATGCTCAGCTCAATGAAAGCAAAGGTAGTGACCTCCATTTTCTCTTATATTGGTGAGTTCCCAACCAACCTTATTAACTGCTTGTTCTGTGCCATTGCTAGGCACTGGGAATATAGGCTGAATATGGCAGACATAGTCTCTATTTTAATACAATTTATAGACCACTGGGGGAAATAGCAAATTAGAAATTACAATGGCTTATTATAAACACTGTTCCAGGAGAAATATGAATTGTTGTGACAGTATACTGGAAGGCGTCTAACCCAGATTAGGATGCAGGGGTAGAGGATGGCAGTGAAGGTGAGGAGTCCGTCCTTAGACAGGGCTTCCTATAGAAAGTGGTATATATTTTAGGACCTAGTAGAGAATGAAAAGGAGTTGCTCAAATGAAGAGGAGAAGGGAACGGTCATACAGACAGAAGAAACAGCTTATGCAAAGATCTAGCTCTTCGGGATCCTAGCAGATCAAGCAAATTAAGGACGTTCAATATTCAGAAGCATAAATGGTGAGCCTGGGCAGGTCCTCATAACCCATACTAAGAAGTTTGAACCCTATGCTGAAGGCTCTGGAGCACTACTGAAGGAATTGTAAGCAGGGTGATGCAGTGGCCAAAACTGCCTTTTGGGAAGCTGTCTTTAGCAAAAGTGTGGAAAATGCTTTAGAGGTAACAAGGCCAGATGAAGTGAGACTAGTTGTAATAATCCAGGTGAGACATGATGGGGGCCTAAATACAGTGGAGGCTGTGAGATAGAGACAATTGAATTCATTGTATATGTAGAGTTTACATAACGCAAAGTAAGCTCTTTGCTGTGGACCTTGGATGTCCCTTTATGTTTTTCAGTTGTATACATAGCCTAGTATTTCTGTAAAATTAACAATGAAAATACTAAGCATTACTTTCAGTTTCCTTTGAGAGGAATAGGGTGGGAGGATGAATTTATGGACCAACACTGTTGGAGGCCTTTCTCCCCAGCCGGTCTGCTCTGAGACTGTCTCATCTTTGCTCCACTTTTGTACTTGAAAGGTGGGTCATTTCTCAGTGGAGAAGTGTGCAGTTACACTTAACCATATGGTGGAGTGTCTAGGGCACCCTGGAGAAGGGAAGTTAGTAAGAAAGAGTTCCTGAAAGAAAAGAAATGAACACAAGTTGATGACTTCTTTTTAACTTTAGAGTGAATGGTAGATACCTGTGGATGTCTCCAGAAAATAAATCTCTCTCTCTAAATATTTTTGTGCTGATGTTTTAAATCTGGGAGTGCTTATAAAGTACATGTGATAATCACTGAAGTCATCCATTTAACAAATTGATGGAATGAACCAATTAAGATAGGCATAGTGTCAATCAGAGTGGGTATAGAACATATTCAGATAAAATAAAGCTCTGCTTTTTTTTTCATTTTCTTTGTTTTTGAGCTTTAATTTATGGCATTTTCTCAAGCCACAACAGTTAGATTGGTAAAGATAGAATCCTCTTTAGTATACCAATGGGTGAAAATCACAAGGAAGCATATTTATTGCAATTGTAACCATCCAAAAGTGCCATACTAACCTTGCCAGGTAGAGATTTTTGTTACTGGAAGTATCCAAGCAGAATTTGGGTTACCATCTGTCAGGGATTTGGGAGAAAGACTTTTTTCATTAAAGGGGAAGGTTGGAAAAAGAAAATAAAATCATGATAATCCCACCACTTTTAACATTTTACTGTATTTTCTAGTCAAAACCATAAATATATTTATTTTATGCTGTATTTTAAACTAGCAATGATTTCTCTCTTTCTGTTACAATGTGTTTGTTCTTACCCCATACCACATTAAAATTTTTCCAAAGTTTTAACAGTAGGCCTTTCTGAACCAGAATGCTGAATCCAGGATTACAACATGCACCTGAGAGTTATTCATGTAAATTCTGTTTTAATTTGTCTCTTTTTTATAACACTGTTTCAATAAAGAGGTCAGGCCAGGAGTCTTATGGAATATTTCATCTACTATTTAGTCTTTTATCCTCCCCTACCACCCCCTTGCCCCTGGTTTCATCTTAATTTTTAAATAACGAATCCTTTTCTTTATTCATTCAGAATTATTTTTTGAGAGGCAATCACGTGTTGTTCTCTGTTCATCCCTGGAAATATGCAGAAGCAAACATAGAGAAGTCTTGTCCTGGTATAGCTTGCAGGCTAAGAAGAAATAAGAACAAATGGAGGAAGCTGCATAACACAGAGACGTCAATTATAAATTATAAAAGGTTGGGAATGGTGTTCGATGCAATATGTTATCACGTCTCAAGGTGTGTTTTGAAGAATTCTAATTCCCCACTAGTTCCTACTCATTACACAGTCAAATGAGTTTGAGAAATGCTGAGTTACACAAGATTAAGAAATTTCTTTGCTGTAGGACTTATTGGTAGCCATTAAATTAATGTGCATAGCAAATTTCTAAGAAAAATACAGAATGCATGTAATATTCTCCTGACACATTTGATCATGACACATATTTTTTGAAAAATTAGTGGAACTATCATTGTGTGGAGCACATTTTGTCTAGGCTGATGATATGTAAAATCCTAGCACAGACAGGTAGGAAATATTCTGTGAAAGTCTAATGACTCTGAAATCAAATAGAACAGTTGCTGCCTAGTTTTCACAACTTTTTATAAGTAACAATTAAATATGGAACAAAATACCAAACTTAAAATAAGTTTGATAGTATTTTATTAGCCTTGTCAAACTTCTGCATTATATATAGCAGACTTCATCTATGGGCTTGTACGCCATAGGGGCATCTTTGGATAACTATGACATGCAGATTTATAAAGCATTTATTTTTAAAATAAATTCCATAGTTATGCCCATGCCTTTGAGGTATCACCTTTTTAAACTAGAAGTTGTGGATTTAACACTATATTGGGGAAAGTTACAGTGCTCTAACTACATTTGAGTGGCCACAATAAAGAAGGGAGCTACAGTATTAACAGACATTCAAGATGCTCCTTTTCTGCCACGAGGCAGTCTCTGAGACAATATTGAGAAAGAAGAATTAAAGTGAGAAGAAATGATGTTGGACTTTGAAAATCGTCACAGGTAACCACTTTGCCACAATGTTATCTGAATTCTTTCAATCAAGAATCACCCCTACTACATGAAACCAAAAAGAACAGAAACAATAGCTGGATAGACTTAGCAGACTCCTTTTGTAGGTCTCCTTTGTAGAAGGCACATAGGTTCATCTTCTAAATCGCTGAAACCAAGAAACACATGCACACCTCGTGAGGGATGTTTGCAACCCACATCCCTGGAGAGTACTTTAATGTTGAATGGGAAAGTTTGAAGGCAGCAAAGCTTACTATTCATGGTATAGCTGAGAATGGGAAAGGAGTTTGAGACAGGGGAATCCCATGCACTAGGGTCTGTCCCCAGCCAGCCTTGAAGTGGCTGTGTGGTCTCAGGCAAAATGACAAGTTTCAGGGTTTCAATTTTATCTTCTTTGAATTTAGAGGATTGGGCTCTCAGTGGAATAAAGGCCTCCCGTTTCTAAGTATTGGATTCCTTGTGATGATTGAGGGATTTATGACCATTGACTCCTTTCTGGATCATTTAATCTAGAGCCTGGGAAAAATGAATTTTTCCTTTAGCTAAGTCATTCTAGTTCCAGACTATGAATTTTCCATTTTTATTAAGCCCTGAAAGCACATTAACCACTCTGCCTTCAAAGCTTGTGGGTCAAGATGTATATGAACTTTTTATAAGAGTATTACCATACTTTTAATATTAAATTTTCTTGAATGGATTAAAGCTAAACATGGTTAATACCATATTTTTGATGGAATGAACTGTATACTATTAGCATCCTTCTGCTCTGGATGAGGCTAGATACTGTTACTCTTTGCAGAAAAATTATTCACAAAATAGGGCTATTCTAAGTGATATTTGTGCCATGTATGGAAGTAGGTAACATATTTTTAAGCTGTCATTTACAGCTTCACTTTGGGGAAGTCAGAAATTCATTTTGGTGTAAGGAAGAAGTTCATTTACTATACGGTCCCGGTACCTCTGTCTACGGCAATTTCTTTTCAGTAGTACGTATGAGTAATAATTAGAAGGAGGCCTATTGAAGAGAAAGTACTGAAAATGACAATAGTGATCACATATTGATTTCCTATGTGTGCCAGGCCTTTATATATTTTACTTCTCATAGTTACAAAGATTCTGCCAGTTGGCTTCTTCACTTATGTGGCCACATCTAATATGGATTCCATTCATCTAGTTACCTTTAATCAATGTTTTCAGGGAAAACTGGATTTAGTATATAAAATGCTGTGCTTGAAAACTGGGCCCATGTATCACACTTGGCAAGGCACTTGATACATACCAGATAACCACATATTTGGTTAAATGCGTTTGTTGTTTGAATAGATGTAGATTTATGTCATTAATATTTATATAGTGTTCATATGAGTTTTTCGTCTGTGGTATACCTGTTAATGAAAGTATACACTTACTGTTGATTTAAAATCCCAAATCTATGACCCTTTATCTTAATTGATAATGGGAATGTTTTCCCATCATTTTCCTTAAGATATGCTAAAATAAGAAGCATTGCCACATTCACCCTCAAATTAAACTTTTATGCATTTCTTAATGGATAAAAGTGGCACTTTTTAAATGTTATGAAGTGCACTAATGGCCCCAACTTGGCCAGGTTTACCATTTTAGTGATAAATGATTTGCTTAAACACTAATTCCTGGTAAACATGTTTTAAATGAGCTGACTCAAATCATCTTGAGAATTAGGTGAGGTACAAAATATAAGGTAGTAAAGGAATGCTAATATGTTTCCATAATAGCTGTTATTTGTTTCCTGTGTTTGTTTAAATAATTACCACCAATGCCAAACACTTTCTTTGTATCAGACACAGAAGTGCTGTACCAGGCACATCTGCTCTTTAATTCTTATAATAATCTTACTTTGTAAACATCATCCCCAGTTTGCAGAGGAGACTGCAGGACTCCCCTTGTTGGCAGCCACACAAAAGTAGTCAAGGAATACCTATTATGACCTGTGAGTTTAATAGATAAATATCTCATTAATATATTTATGTATTTGTGTGTAAAACATCATCTCTCTATTATTATTATCTACATATATATTACCAGCTTCTGTAATCAAACCCCAAATTTCAGTGACTTAACACAATAAAAGTTTGTTTCTCACTCATTGAACAGACCAGTGATACTGCTCTTATTTTACCAAGCAGCTTTCCCCTATGTTGTTACTCAGGAACTCATCCATTTCCATTTTGGGGGCTGTGTCATTCTTCAGGTTCATGGAGAGGAAGAGAAAGGACTACCATTGTACTGACTGACATTTGATGGCCTCAAAACGATAACAGTGAGGTAGTGGTAGTGGCAGTGGGGAAAGCTGAGGAAAAAGTGTAGTGGCCTCACAGAATACAGGGATTATGAAGTCTGTGTGTGTATGGGTGTATGTACACATGTACACATATACTCATGTAGTATAAGATACTAAATTTGCAATAGGGAGAGCACTGCATTGAAAAAGGTACTTTATAAAGAAGTTTCAGCTGGGTGCGGTGACTCACACCTGTAATCCCAGTACTTTAGGAGGCTGAGGCGGGTGGATCACAAGGTCAGGAATTGGAGACCAGCCTGACCAACATGGTGAAACCCCGTCTCTACTAAAAATCCAAAAATTAGCCAGTTGTGGTGGCATGCACCTGTACTCCCAGCTACTCAGGAGGCTGAAGCAGGAGAATTGCTTGAAACTGGGAGGCGGAAGTTGCTGTGAGCTGAAATTGTGCCACTGCACTCACCCCAGCCTGGGTGACAGAGTGAGACTCCACCTCAAAAAAAAAAAAAAAAAATTGTTTCAATGTGTTCATGGTTACTCTGCTATTTTGAGCAACTTAAATTTTCTTCATTATAATTTTTCATGGTCTTCAAATTTTTGGTGATTTTATGTCAATGAAAATTGATAGTCATCATTTTAGAAACTACTGAAATTCATGTCTATATATCACGCAGGAAGGACTAGAGTGAGCTGATTAGGTTGCACAATGTAAGAAGTACTGTGTAAATGCTAACTCTGCACTTGCAGAAGGTAAGCTGTGTGGTGGTTGGGAGGTCATTCTCGCCAAAGGAGGGTATTCCACTTCAACCCTGACAATCCTGGCCTGTTTGTGCATTCAGTGTATATAAAGAATATCTGATGTAGACAGAGTGAGTGATAAAACTTTGTGCCCAAAGACACTTTGGTGTCAATTTTTTAAAAAACATTGTCTTTGCATCTAAAAGTAGTCATATGCATTTATGTTTCATCTTGGTCCATCAGGTATTCTCTTGGAAGCATGAGAATTCTCTTGACTAAGTGTATTTTTTGTTGTTGTACCAGCCTGGGTCTGCAAATTGGTCTTCCTCTCAGGTTCTACAAGCTTGTCAAAAGCATGAAAGCAGGGATATGTACTTATTTTAAAATGTCCTTTCTTTTTACTACTGTCAGATCTCTTCAGAGCTTGCTGCTTCAGAGAGAATGAGCCTAGCCCATGCTGAGCAAAATGAAAATAAGCACCTAAAATATTGAAAAGGATCTACATAGCACTTTTTGTCTCTCTCTGCCAGTTTCCTCACACTTTTTCACTGCTTAGAATTGAAGGAAAAAATAAAATAGTCAGTTAAGATGGGATGGACCCTGCTCATCACAAGTATGCATAAATAAGGCATATTTATCTGAAGGGCACATTGTATGATGTAGTATGCATTGTACTCAACCATGAAAGATATTCATGGAAATCTAGGTGGAATATCAGTTTGTCTTCCCAATCCTCTCCCAATATCTCTTTCAAGGTTATTCTTTTCTAACCAGCAAACTAACAACCTTTGAAGAAAACTCCATGAAGGTCAGAAAACACAAGCATATTGTAAATAATTTTGTTTTGATGTGCTTAATAATAATATGTACTTCTGGCCAATGTGTTGTAGGCAGAAAATTAATTATTAAAACTTGATGGCACAGATTTCAAAGATCATTTTCATGACCAACATCAGATTTACCATATCTGGTCAAAGTAGCAATTTATGTCAGTGAGTTTATTTGGTTTGAAAATAGAATGGTAATATGTATGCAACCTTTGTAATTCAAGGTGAGGTTTAAAAATAACTTAATGGTGTTATGTCAGAGACTCATAAATACAATTTCCCTTACATGTCTTCCCTTCGTAGAGAATATATGTATTCCAAGTTAATTTTTTCCTGATCACTTTGAACAAACCGATCTCTCTGCACTCTGTAGCAACAGAGACTTTGTGATTAATATGGTTTATTTGCTCAGTGTAATTGTTCAAAAGGAGAGGGGAAGAATAGCTCCAGTTATTCTTATATTTTTTAAAAACATAGAAAAGTTTGCTAAATAACTACGTAGAAATCCAAATTTACAAAGCAAGTGAAGGTTTCTTTGCAAAATGATTTTGTGTTTACTATACACAAAGCTGTAATTAACGAATGTCCCTAATATACTTTTTAAAAGTGAACAGTTTACAGTGGTGTTATTACATACACATAGTTGTGCCATCAATCTTGAGAACTCTTTTTCTTTTGCAAAACTGAAGCCCTATACCCTGTAAACGACAACCCTCAATTTCTCTCAGTCCCCAGCTCCTGAAAACCACTATGCTACTTTATGTCTCTATGAACTTCACTACTCTAGATACATCATACAAGTGGAATCATATCGTGTTTGGCATTCTGTGACTGGCTTATTTCACTTAGCATAATGTTGTCAATGTTCATCCATGTCATAGCATGTGTCAGAATATCTATCTTTTTAAGGCTGAAAAACATGCCGTTGTATGTTTTGACCTCATTTTGTTTATCCTGTCATCCACTGATGGACATTTGAGTTGCTTCCACCTCTTGACTATTGTGATTCATACTGCTATGAACGTGGATATGCAACTATCTCTTTGAGATCCTACTTTCAATTATTTTGGATATATATAGCCAGAACTTGGCTTGCTGGATTGTATAGCAATTCTATTTTTATGTTTTTAGGAACAGCCATACTGTTTTCCAAAGCAGCTGCACCATTTTACTTTCCTACCAACAGTATAAGGGTTCCAGTTTCTCCACATCTTCATCAACACTTACTGTTCTTTTTTTTTTTTTTTTTTGCTTTTGTTTGTTTGTCTATAGTAGTTATAATAATATATACAAAGTGATAGATATCTCATTGTAGTTTTGATTTGCATTTTTATAATGATTAGTGATTTTCAGAATATATACATATGCTTGTTGGTCATTTATATATTATCTTTTGGAGAAATGTATTAAAATCTTCAGCCAATTTTTTAATCACGTTGTTTGTTCCTTTGTTATGAGTTGTAGGAGTTTTTAAAAATATATCCTGTATATTAATACCTTCTCAGATACATTATTTACAAGTATTTTCTCCCATTCCTTAGGTTGCCCTTTAGCTCTGCTGATTGTTTCATTTGGTATGCATAAGTCTTTAAATTTGATGTAATCCCATTGTCTATTGTTGCTGAAGCTATTGGTTATATCCAAGAAATTATTACAAAATCCAATGTCATGAAACTTTTCTCTGTACTTTCTTCTAGGCATTTTATAACTTTAGGTCTTACATTTAGGCCTTTAATCCATTTTGGGTTAATTTTTATATATGGTATAAAATAAGAGCCCAACTTCATTCTTTTGCCTAGAGTTATCCAGTTATCCCAATACCATTTGTTGAAGACACTGTCTCATCTTTATTGGGTAGTCTTGGCACCCTTGCTTAAGAGCATTTATTCGTACATTTGAGGGTTTATTTCTGGATTTTCTATTCTATTCCATTGGCCATACATTTGTGTTTATGCCCCTACCACACTGTTTTGATTACTATAGCTTAGTAATAAGTTTTGAAGTCAGGAGGGGTGAGACTTCCAACTTTGCTCTTTTTCAAGATTATTTTGTTTATTTGGGGTATATTGAGGTTTTCTATAAATTTTAGGATACAGTTTTCTATTTTGAAAATAAATACCATAGTGCTATTCAGATTTTGATAAGAATTGCATTAAAACTGTAGTTTACCGTGGGTAGTGTTGACATCTTAACAATACTAAGCCTTCCAAACCTTGAAGGTGGTGTTTATTTTCATTCATTTGTGTCTTTAATTTCTTTATCACATATTACAGTTTGCAGAGTACACATCTTTTGTTACCTTGGTTAAGTTTATTCCTAAGTATTTTACTCTCTTTGATACTATTGTAAATGAAGTTGTTTTCTTAATTTCCTTTTTTGTATTTCTCATCGTTAGTTTATAGAAATGCAACTGATTTTTGAATATTGACTTTGTGTTCTGCAACTTGGCCAAATTCATTTAATAATTCTAACAGTTTTTTGTGGAATATTTAGGATTTTCTACATATTGGATTATGTTATCTGCAAACAGAGATTATTTTACTTTTTCCTTTCCAATTAGGATGTCTTTTCATTCCTATTTGCTCTGGCTAGACTTTCTAGGGCTGTGCTAAATAGAAGTGGTGAAAGTGGACATCTTTGTCTTGTTTTGATCTCAGAAGAAAAGCTTTCAGTCTTCCACTATGGAGTATGATATTAGCTATGGACATTTTGTATATGGTCTTTATTATGTTGAGGTAGTTTCCTTTTTAGTTTGTTGAGGGTTTTCATAATGAAAGATGCTAAATTTTGTAAATGCTTTTTCTGTATCAGTTGAAATGGTCATATGATTTTTTCTTAATTTTGTTAATGCAGTGTATTACATTGATTAATTTTCATATGTTGAACCATCTTTGCATTCCAGGAATAAATTCTACTTGTTATGATGTGTATTCCTTCTCATGTGCTATTGAGCTCAGTTTGCTAGTATTTAGTTGAGGATTTTTGCATCAATATTCAATATTGGTCTCTAGTCTTCTTTCCCCATAGTGTCTTTGACTTTGGGATTAGTGTAATGCTGGCCACATAAAATGAGTTTGGAAGTGTTCCCTATTTTTTCTGGATGAGATTGGAGAGGATTGATTCTAATTATTTTATAAATGTTTGGCAGATTCACTAGTGAAGTCATCTTCTCTTGGGTTTCAACTGTAAGGTGAGGAATAATAATAATAAAGTGAGGATTAACATTAAGCCACACTGTCTTCCCACATGTAGACTTAGACTTTCACATATCATATGTAATTGTGTGTCTTGGGGCAAAGTTCACATGTCATGTGTAATTCTATATCTTGGGACATGTTACAGAGGTAGTAGTAATTCTGTTTCACAGAAGCAAAACATGAAACTTAGAGATATTAAGCTATTTCTCTCTAAAACCATCAGGTGTTAATTGGTGGAGGTAGTCCTCAAGCATCCCTCCAACTTGCCAATTAACTATTCTTTTCATTGCACCCTCTCCCTCTCTCCAGCTGGTGTGTTGACATTTTGCCTTCTCTGAATGCATATGAGAAGTCAACATGAGATTTGGTGGTCACGTTTAGTCTAGAACAACCAGCTCTCAGAGACATTATAATTAGATGCACCCCTAGGAGATTGCTTTTATAGTATTGGCCTAGGGATATAAAATTAACTCCTGATCGAAAAGGATTTTGGGGTATGTAATTGACTATACCGTAAAGTTATGAGCAGATATAAAAACCAATTTATTTTGAATGTAGTTAGAGAAAAAGACAAATGTGTTAAAGACTCTGGTATTATATCTGACGTAATGTAATTTCCTTCTAGTTATGAGTTTCCCTGAAAATGAATGATTTCCCAACAATCACCGAATGCTTCTAAGAGAGAGCAATAAAGCAAAAGGGGAATAGCAGAACACATTGATACCTATTCTTCTGAAAATGTGTTTCTTCTGGACTGATAATAATAAAAAGTAAATTGCCATGCTACCTCTTGTATATATACAATGTTGTGTTTCTGAAAATAGCAATGATTCTGAAGCATTAGAAAAGCTAAATTATGATATTTTTCTTAAATTAAAATGTAACAAAGAAAATTCTCTAGTTCATAAAATTAGGCCCCGCACTGTATGGAGGTATAGAAAGAATGGGAAACATAGGAAAGGGAGAAAACCCATTTAGGATTTTGTAATGAGTCAATTTCTGAGGGAAACTGAGCAAAACATCCTGACTAAATGAATGTCATCGCAAAATTGAGTTCATCTGCAAGATAACAGGGAGGAATGAAAGAATTGCTGATGATCTTTGGAAGGTTTGCCTCTCAAAAGCTATAGACCAATCTTTAGATCTTCCCCAAGCTCTGATAAGGAAAAGCCAGTACGCCAAAAATACATTATAAGATGCTTAGAGCTGGTCTCTTCCCAATCCATCCCTGCTCTAGGGCCTTGGCACTGGCTGTTTCCTGGGCTTGGGACTTTCTTCATAGCTTTGCATGGCTGGGCTTTTCTACACATTCACCTCTCTACTCAAATATCCACCTCCTCAGAGGTTACTTCTTCATCTACCCTTTCTGTTTTCTGATATTTGTTTCCTTGTTTATACTTTTTCTCTTCTACCAGACTGATGTCTGGTGAAAACAGGGGTTCTGGTTGTCTTAGACCAAGATCCATTCAGCCCTTAGCACATTTCCTAGTCTGTAATGGAGACAGCAAATTTTACTTGACTCTACATCTTAAAAAGTCAGCAAATACTGAGGTGCCACTTAGCACCTTTAACATGGCTGGAGAGCTTGTTGGGTCTAACAGTGGCTGATGATATTCAAATAGGATTTTTCTATTAATGATAAAAATGTATTCATACAATCTGGGTAAGAGCAGCAGGAGAGAGGCAGAGGATGCTATTTTTGTTCCTAAGAATCCACCAAATCAAGCAACAAAATTCAATTTAATTTTTAAGTGAGATCAAACCCTTATTCTAATGTTCTTTTTCCTTTAAACAAAATTACTCCCACTTGGTGTCTTACACATGAAACAAATGAAATCGTCAATTTGTGTTCCTATGCTCTTGGTAGGAAGTTTGTTCTTGTATTTTTTTCCTCCTCGAGGTAAGTACAATGTTGTCTTTAATGCTTTATATTCACGGAACCTGCCACCTTACTTACACTTTTTCCGCATCTTGGATCATGGCCTACTGCCCAACTTCAGCATTTTGTAATAAGTTAGTTATATAAATGGCTATCATTGTATTATTTAGAAAAATCTGCTGAGTTTCTCTATGGGATGGTTGCATTCAAAGGGATACAATCTACATAGCTTTACTATCATTGCTTTATCAAGGCAAAATGTTTAATAGAGAATTTGGAAAATCCTCTAAGCATTAGGGCATAATCTGAATTTCCGTCTTATTCTGAACACAAATTACAGAGCCATCTAAAAAACTCAATATAAAAATAATAAGCTTTTCATTTTTCAAAATTAGGCTTGATAACTTGATAAATTAGGCTGTGTGAGTGTTGCTAATTATTTAGAATCTGAAATTCTTAATCACAGTCAAATAAATTTAATAACTTTATGCTTATATTCTCTACTATGTCCATGTTGAACCACATGAAATTGGTAAAAGTCACACCTTTTTTAACTGAAAAAAAAGTTAATTTTTAATGGTTCAACCCAAGTGTTAAGTAATAATTGTCACCATTCTGCCGAAAAGAATCTTCCTGATGGTATGAATTTATGCTGAGCATGTTTTAGTTTGTTGGACATATTTCTCCAGTTGAATTATTTCTGAATGAGCACATTATTACAGGTAGCACCGTACATCCCTCTAATTACTTTAGGCCCCTCAGTGCTAAAGTACACCCTCTGCCAAAACTAGGGATGCTTTAATAATTTAACACAAAGTTTATGTAATTACCTTTTGTGTAAAATTGTGTGTTTAGGAGCACGTGTATACCTGCACAACTTCAGAGTTCAAATCACACAGAATTCTCAGGGACTGACATTCATCTCCCCACCCCCACCCGAGAAATAATTTATTTTATGTATGTCCCAAATAGTTCTAGTATATGACTGTGTGTGTGTGTGTGCATGTGTGCGTATGCATGTGTGTGTGTGCGTGTATGTGTGTGTGTGTTTTGGAGGGAAGGTGGAGGGTAATAGAAGCAATGTTGGCGAAGGATGGGTCAGAATCAAAACTGGCAGTAAGATGGGTGTTCCAGAGGCAGCTTAGTATAGTACTAAGAACACGGGCTAATGGTCAGAGAATCCCACAACCAAACCAGGCAGGTCTTAGAAAATTATTGACTGAGTGATATTGGAATTATCACTTGCCAGATGTGTCACTTGGAAAATGGAAATAATGAGATTAATAATAATAACAAACATTAATAATAATAACAAACATTTGTAGATTTAATCTGAGCCAGGCATTCTACTAATCACTTTCTTTGGGTGAATTTATTTACTCATAGAAACTGTGATCTCTCTTGTTTTATGAAACATGGTGTCTCGGGAAGGTTAAGTAGCATGCCAAAGGTCTCACAGCAGCTAGTTAAGTGGTTAATCTAATATATAACTTATAGTGCTATTGTGATGATTAATGAAATAATGCATGCAAAAAGCAAGAACCTAGGGACAATGTTAAGTATTAACATTGGGTACAGACTAATTAGAAGAGAAAATACTCTAAAGCAATTTGAGATGAATTTATAGGGCAATAAAAAGCACAAATTGATAGCGAATAAATCATATACACAAAGTACACTTTTAATGTTGATTATCTCAAGGTGAACTGAGTCCTCTGCTAGGAATTTTACATATTAAGATAAGGGTCAGAGATAGGCAGTTATAGGGCTGGATTATTTTAGCAATCCTTAGAACCAGTCCCGTTATCACCTAGAAGGTAGGTCTATGATAAGATGTAAAATGAACTAAGCAACATAGTGGAAAAACTGATTGCCTGGACCATGTGCATTTGTGTTTCACATACAAGAAAATAATTAGTCACTTCTGAACTTGGATTTCCCTTATGGGTGATCTTAGGTGCAGCTTCCATGTCCTGAATGTGTCTCTAGCAATTAGTCAGGGCTGCTACCATGTGCTTCTTCCAAAATGCTGCAATTGAACATCTGGCGTGATGCCTTCTATTAAGGGGGAGCTGAGTTTTACTCCATTACATTCTAGTTTAGGAGGTTGAGAATGAGGAAATATTACCATGACCTATAATTGGATCTGCAATTTGTTGGCTCAGATGTGGAAGATGGAGCATTTTAAAGAACTAGGAGTGTGGAAACAGCTTTGTGGGAATACTTGCATTCCTCTCTGAGTTTCGTTTGCTTTTGATAGATAAACTATGTCCTTCAGAAATCCTTATTCCCAGCTGTGGGACCTTGGTTGGTAGAACTGGAGCAGCTATGAAACACTGAGAGATCACCAGTAGCTCTGAGGGTGTTTGAAACAGGTAAGAAAGAGAAAAAATGAAACCTAGCTCTCAAATGCCAGTGGGTGGAGAGAACAAATTTCTTGGGTGATTCAGGAATAATGATGACTAAAGAGGATTTTAAAATCAACATTTAAAACCCATGCAGGAAGCATGAACAAGCTTTAGTGTATCGATGAAGAAATACTCATGAAGGGTCACCTGTGTTAAAGATAAGACGCCTGGATCACTTAACCAAGAAATGATGACATGGTTTCTGACTTCGGGAGCATAGTATGGTAGTTTCCCCTTATCTCAGGTTTCTATTTCCATGGTTTAAGTTACCGGTGGTCAACCACTGTCCGAAAATATTAAATGGAAAATTATAGAAATAAACAATTCATAAACTGTAAATTGAGTGCCGTTCAGAGGAGTGTGATGAAATCTCTCGCCATCCCGCTCTGTCCCACCTAGAAAGTGAACCATCCCTTTGTCCAGCAGCTCCGTGCTGTCTGTGTTATCTGCCTGTTCATCACTCAGTAGCATTCTTGGTTAGCAGATCAGCTATCACAGTATCACATTACTTGTGTTCAAGTGACCCTTATTTTACTTAATGATAGCCATACAGCTCAAGAGAAAAGCTTCTGGCATATTGTTACAGTTGTTCTATTTTATTATTGTTGTTGTTAATTCCTTACTGTGCCAGACTTATAATTTAAACTTATCTTGGGTATGTTTACATAGGAAAAATCATAGTATACATAGAGTTCTGCACTATCTGTGGCTTCAGACATCCAATGGGGGTCTTGATACGTGTCCCTCATGGATAAAGTGGGGGCTATTGTGTAGTTTAGTTGTGGAGATTATTCCCCTCATCTAAATAACTGTTCAATTCAGTAGTGTTCGGCTTACCACAGAACATGCATTAGAAGGCTCAGAGGATGAATGTTGATGTGTAGGGGAAGTGGAAGGATCCTCATGGAAGTTTGAAAGATAGGCAGGGTTTGGATAGACAGGAAAGAGGGGCAGCAATTCTCCATGATTAAAAAAAAAACATGAAAGGAAAGAAAAGATGTATCAAGAGAGATAGAAAAGTTTAATTCAAGCAAAAGATCAGGAAAGTGATTCGTTGAAGGTAAGTGTAGTGTCAGAGATGCATAGGATGTCTGAAACTCTTAAACAGGGATCATCCTTTCTATCTCAGATTGTTCACTTTGGATGAGAAAATAGAGATGAAGAAAGGTGAAGTGAGTAGAACAGATTGTGAAGAGCTTTGTAAGGAGCTTGTACTTCATGGCCATAGGGTTTCTTTGAAAGCTTTTGCAGAAGAATCCTTTGACTTGAACTTCCATTGCAGTACAGAGGGTGCTATTAGACTTAAGTGAACAGCTGTATGTGTATGTGTATGTGTATGTGTATGTGTATGTGTATGTGTATGTGTATGTGTATGTGTGAATAATGTTTCCATCTCCTCTGAGTATTAGACATGAAGCAGATATGAAGTCTTTACCTTAAAAATGAAATAACATTTCCTGGTGAGGTGAAGAAGACTGAAGTTAGGTTGCCTTTTTTGTTGTTGTTGTTTTCTTTTTGTTTTTTGTTTTTTGGTTTTTTTTGGTTTTTAAGAGGAAACATAGTAGTGATTTCACTGATCAATGATGGCTTAAGCGTTTGCTTCCCTGGAAAAGGAAAAATGGTGGAACAATTGGTGCTCTTACTTTTTGTATGATTCTAAATGAACTCCTTTTCAATATAAAAGAAATTTATGCTTTGTTAATAACAAGCCTAAAGGTAGAGACTTCTCATTTATTTGTGACTATGAGTAAATTTTCTTTCTCTTCATACCAACCTCTGAAATATGCATAAAGACATATTTGTAATGTTAGATACTAGTTTTATAATTTAACTCAACAAGTAATTACTTGTTTAGTTTTGTTATAGAAATGATACACCTAAAAAAACACAGATTAACAAAAATAATTGAAAATCACTTGACATGTCATCACACAGAGATACTACTATTAATATTAGAAATATTTTTGGACACATTTTCTCAATCTATATGTATGTTTCCCAAATTGGGACATATTGTGCATATTGTTTTGTAGTCTTCTCAAAAAGATAAGATCTAATAATATAATAAGATGTTATAGTAATAACATCTGTTCATGTCATAAATATTTTTATAATATGTATGACTGTATGTGTTTCATTATATATTTGTACTATGTTTCATATACACAATTTTATATTGATGAACAGTTAGGTTTTTACTAATTTTTATTTTATTGCTAATATAACAGTAAGTTTTTTGGGGGTCTTAAGGTCTATGTGGTGTCTTTCATTCATGCTTTCATATCTTTTAATAATTTGGGGGGTTTTTTATTGCTACTATGTTCTAAGCTCTGTTTTAGGCATAGGGGTACATCAGTGAATAAGCTAAGAAAGCTTCTTACTTTCATGGAACTTACCTTCTAGTTGGGCGACATGAAAATACATGAGGAGACAAATAAATGAATGTTATTAACTGAAAAAATATAGTAAGTACTGTGAACATTATAAAAATGAGGGATGTGACAGAGATTGTTAGGACTGAGAGGAAGGGAAAACCCCACCAAGGAGGTTTGAGCTTTGAGTTGAGCTCTGAGTCCCAGGAAGGAACCAACCATGCTTGGGGACATAGCCTGTCAGTTAGGTTTTCAGTCAGTTGTTAAGACGAAGTCTGAAGGAACTTGAAGTATTTGCAAAACAGAACAGGCCAGTGTGGATGGGCTTAGTGAGTGGAGTTCAGGGAAAGGAAGAGGGAATAGGTAGTGAGATCAAGGAGGTAGGCAGAATCCAGGTTACATAGGCCTTAAAGGCCATCGTAATAAGCTTGGATTTTATTCTAAGTGCAATAAAATGCTTTTAGACCATCTTAAGCAAGGAAAAGACATGATTTGCTTTACATTTCTGCTACACTGTAGGAGCAAGGGTTAGCCTCAAGGAGATAGTAACAATGGCATTACAGGAACTCGTAAATAATAGTGCCTTAAACTAGATTGTTTGTATTGGAGACAGATGTAATAGACTTGTGACAATATTTGGAAATAAAGCTGTCAAAACTTGCTGCTGAATTATTTTCTATAAATATTCCAAAGCATGCAAATGCAAAGATCAGAGCAAAGAATATGCACATTTTAGAAATCTCTGTACATATTCCCATGTATCCAACAGGAAATTTATACCACGTAAGAGGCAATTGTAGTTTCTACCATTTACTGGAAATATTGACTTTATACACATAACTAAGATGGAATCTTTACTCTCACAGCCTATGATGTTGAGAATGTACATACTATATGACTTAGGCCTCATTTTGATATTATTCAGGTAATAATTTACACATCAGATGTATTTTCTCCCATGAAGTGGAAAAAAATAAGTTTTTAATTGTGAAAATAGTTTGGTATTCCAATCTTTGGAAATCAGTCCTGTTGTGTCATATTTTTGAAAAGTGGAAATACTGACAAAAAAACTGAAATACTTTTCTAAAATGCCTAAAGTTAAAACATTCTACCCAGAATGATAGTAAAAGCTACAAATATGCTATGCTGAACAATTGTGGAGTTTTATTCACATGAAACTTGTATTACATTTAAATTAAATAACACTTGCTCTTGTAGTTTCCAAATCACAGATTTTTACTACCTTAAAAACATTAGCCTTGTCTTATGAAAGACAGAAGGTCAGATCCTCAGCTCAAAACCTCAACTTTGATATAGCGTAAGTGAAAGAAAATAACAAATGATGGTATATTAGACACAGTTGTTCTTTCAACAAGCGGTAATTAAGATGAAGTTAAATATTTTGTCTTTTAAAATTACAAAAGCCTGATAGCAGAGAGAGTGATTTCTCTGAAACCATCTAATTTTGGAGACAAAGCTGTTATCTAGAAGAACTCAACAAGCAAGTTTAATCACCAAAGCTCAAGATTTTAGTTCAGTAATGGTAATTTTCAAAACTTAGAAAGTGTAGTTCTAATGGACAAAGCAAATTAAACAGACTATACCTTATCACTGATGAAAATAAACTTTAAACTCTGATCATTAAAAAATAAGCTGTTAGGTGTCTTTATGTCTTTAAATGGCAGACCAAATACATGTGAAACCAACCCCTTACCCTGCTATCTTATTGTCAAATAGAGAAATGGTAGGGAAAAATACATAATTTTATTGACTATTTCCCCATATACATAGCCATGCTTTAAAAGAAAAGAGGAAAAACTCCATAGATAATAAATGCTGAAGTCTCTACAGAAAAAAATGCATATTGGAAACCATATAAATGAAGATAAATGAAGGGGAAGGGGAGGGCCGAAGCTCATGGTTGAATAGTCATTAAGGTCCAGGTGGGGATAGAGGCCACTCACATGCAACCTGCAGGCTTGAGACAAGGGGAGATGCTGCACCACACATCCAGAATGCAGTTCTATAGCTTCAAGTGGCCAGAACAATGCCACTGGCATGGAAAATGAGGGTAAATGGAAAGTAATTCTCAAGGGGATACTTCTCACTTTCTAATGATAAAATTCTTTCAATGGCTGATGTTGGTGTTTCCTTTTTTTTGGTTTGTCTTATTAGTACTTAAAAATTGTCATTGAATGAATATGTTGATTCAGGTTTAGATGAGTGAAGAGAAATTTAGAAAGCATGCAAAAATACCCCACAATAATGCAGTGGTTATAGATATCAGTGTAAATATGTTATTACTTTCCATAATCCTAAAATATCTACCAAAGATATTTGTTTATTACAAAGGATAATAGTGCTTCACAGTGCGGAAGCCCAGCAGATGCTACCTTAACCAACGATTCAAGATTAAGATGACCAGGAATTTTCCAGAATGTCATTTTGACATTATGTACACTTTATATGTACACTTTATATGATGGATACAATATTGCTTAGGTGATACACTGACCCAAATGGTATAATCTCAATCTAATCATAAGCACACACCAAGCAAATCCAAACTGAAAGACATTCAACAACAACAAAAAAAACTGACTGCTACCCATCAAAGACATGGAAACATTGAGGAACTGTCACAGGTTGAAGGTTAAGAAGCATAAGTATTAAGTGTAAGGTGGTTCTTGGGTTGGATCCTTGAACAGAAAAAGGGCATTATTGATATGAGAGATAGTGTAATAAGGTCTGTAGTTAATATTATTATATATGTCAATTTCCTGGTTCTATATTACTTTATGGCTTTGCAAAAGTTAGTCTTAGAGAAAGCAATGTAAAAACTATGCAGAAACTCTGTACTAGTTTTTGTTTCAAACTATAAAGTTAAAACGAATGTAAAAGACAATAACATATGATGTATATGTATGTGTGTGTATGTATTGTGTATATTTAAATATCCTATAACAAGAAGTAAATGTCCAAATAAAAAAATGTTCAATGAGGATGAATAGGCACTTTACAAAACAATAAACTTAAAAAAGATAAGAAACACAGACACACGTTTTACAGTATGTAATTTTTAGACACTGAGCCAGAGAGACAAGAAAGGTTTAAATCTTGGCAATAGAAAACAAACTATAAAGACAATAAAAGCAAAAACAAAAAGTGTTTAGACATATAGAAGATTTTTAAATGACAACATGAGTTTGAATATAAGGTCAGCAGAGGATTTTCTAGAATGGAATTATTTCATCCCTAGAAATGGCCTTTGAAACCACCTACTCTAAGTGCATTGTTGTACAATTTCAGAATAGAGAGCCTATAACCATTATGGTGGCCTTGTCAGCCTGTCCTGGTGGAGCCCTATGTCCCTGTGTATTCATGAAGGAGACTTAATCTGTAGCATAACTCTACCTTTTTTTTTCCCTCCAGATGTCAGATATCTTTTGTTTCCCCCAGTTCCTATGTTAATTAGCTATAGTTGTTCTTTTGACTTGGAAACAGGCTCAGAGATTTGAAAGGATTCCCTCAAGTTCACATCAGAGGAACATAAACATACTGGGATGTGGACCTAGGTGTGTCTGACCCCAGAGACTATGCTTTTTTGAAAGCAATTGAAAGATTTATTTTTTATTTGCATACAGAAAAATGCACTCGCTTTGGTATACAGTTCTGAGTTTTGACAAATGCCTAAAGTCCTAACACCACCACTGCTATTAAGAAGCAGAACAGTTCTATTACCCAAAATCAGTCTCTCATGCTTGCCCTTTGAGGTCAACTGCTCCCCCATCTTGAACCCCAGGGGACCGTTCATCTGTTCTTCATCTCTATAGTTTCACCTTTTTCATGTCATACAAATGGAATGATACAATATGTATCCTTTTGAATCTGGCTTCTTTCACTTAGCTTTCTGTATTTGAAAACCATTAATGATATTGCTTATATCAATAAGTTGGTTCCTTTTTATTGCTGAGTAGTATTCTGTTTCAGGGATGCATTCCAATTTGTCTATCCCTGTATCGGCTGAAGAACATTCAGATGGCTTCCACTTCTGGCAATTAAAATGAAACTGCTGTAAACAATTGCACAAAGGAGTGGGATTGCTAGGTTCTGTGTCAAATGTATGTTAACATTATAATAAATTGTCAAACTGCTTCCCACATGGCTGACAGTTTTGTATTTCCACTTGCAATGTATGAGACTTTGGGTGTACCTTCTCACCAGCACTCGGAATTGTCAGTTGTTTTTTGATATTTTTATTTGCACTTTTTTAATGAGTGTGTGGTAGCATCTCATTGAGTTTTTTAATTTGTTTTCCATAATGACTAGTGGTGTTGAGCATCATTTTATAAACTTATTTACTATATTTGTATCTTTGGTTAAGTGTCTGTTCACATCTTTTGCTTATCTTTGTTAGATTGTTTGAATTTTGAGAATTATTATATGCTTATATTTATGGATATAAGTTGTTTGTCAGATATGTGATTTGCAAATATGTTCTTCCAGTCTGTAGTTTATATTTTCCCTCCCTTAATAGTGTCATTGCTAAAGGAAAAAAAACCTTAAATTCTGTTGAGGTCCAATTTATCATTTTTTTGTTTTATTGCTTATACTTTTAGGTTTGTATCTAAGAAGTCTTTGCTGAAGCGAAAGTCAGAGAATTTCTTCTGTTTTTCTCTTAAGGTTTTATAGTATTACATTTTACACTTAAGTCGATGACATATCTGGAATTAAATTTTATATACAATGTGAAGTATGGGTCAAATTTTTTAATCTACGTATCCATTTATCTACTTGTATATGGAAGTTCCATTTGATCCAAACCTTTTGTTATATAATAAGATTATGCTTTCTCCAGTCTACTGTCTTTGTACCTTTGTCAGAAATCAATTGAACATATTGGTGCATGGGTTTACTTTTAGACTCTTCTGTTTTAGACCCTATGTTTCTATCAATACTACCACACAGTGGTAGTATTAGTAAGTATTTAAATCAGTATAGTAAGTCCTGATATCAGATTGTGTGAGTCTTCCAGCATTGTTTTTTCTCTTTCAAAACTGTTTTGGCTATTCTCTTTCATATATATATATATATATATATATATATATATATATATATATATAAATAAAAATATTTGGAATCACCTTGTCAACATCTACAAAAAAAATCCTGATAGGGTTTGAAATGAAGTGAATAACATTTGAGATTAAATGAGATAGCATTTCATCTGTAGACCAATTTAGAGAGTATCAACATCTTAACAATATTCACTTTGTGAGTCCAGAAATATCTCTCTCTGTTTATTGAGGTCTTTATACTTTTGGCTGCAGGTGTGTGTGTGTGTGTGTGTGTGTGTGTGTGGTGTGTGTGTACATGCATGCTACTTTAAGGAGTACAAGAGGAAGAAGAAAAATAATCGAGAAACTCACTCTTATAGTAGTATTTCTCACACTTTGATTATTTCCTCAGTCTTTCTACTTTGCATAGTCATCAGGTAGTTGTGGTTTTATTTCGTCCAGAATTTTTAGTTGTAATTCGTGGAAGAAATAACCTGCAATGGGTTTACTTTATCTTGTTTGGTATTGAAAATCAATTGGCTTTAGTTTTAATTATGTAAATCCTTCTCGGGTGGTGATAACGTGGATCAAGGAGCACCCAGAAGTGGTTTATTTGGGGTTTTTCAGTTTGAATAAACCAACTCTGAGACAAGTTCCCAAAGGTGGAGTTGTCAAATGTGAAGGATAGCCTTGTAATATTAAAGTGCAAAGGATTTATCTCAGGTGGATAGGAGCCTAGGGGAAAGGGTAGAAGACAGGACCATGCTTTCTTTTTATGCGCACTAACATTGAGTTCGAATCAGGAGCTTCTTCCTTTCTTGACAGTGTCATGATGTGTATTTGAAAATAAATGAAATCAAAATTGATGTGACAGTTTGCAGAATCACCAGGGCCTGTCTGGGAGCATTTTTTAGCAGGCACTGCCTTGCTGACAAATAACAGAAATTAGCATGTAATGCAGGGTCTCACAATCTTAACATTTATTTAGTCCAAAAGATAAGATAGTTTCCTGTGTCCAAACACATCTCAGCTGATTTGTAAACTTCAGCACCTTCCAAACGGTATTATTTCTCCTAACTCTCAAGAGGGCTTATGAAAGAAGTGTAAGTAGCTTTCTCCTCTTGTAGAGATAATAGTCAAATTTTCCATTTCAAGAATTGGAAATCACTAAATGCGTTCTTTCTAGCACAATATTAATTGCATGTTTTATTTTTTATGTCCTGTTTTTAGGTTATTTGTAACATAGGCACACACAAAAATATATATCTGATCCTTTTACTGTTTTCTAGTTATATAATTCATGAATGTTCATCTTGCTTCTATTGTAAATTAACATGCTCCTCTAGAGATCCTCAAACTAATTCTTCCCTAAAGCAGAGTGCTGCAGAACAGTCCAGAATGCTAACCAGAGTAATCCGCTAAAGCGAATTTCACCGACAACTATTTGATACACATTTAGGATATTAATATGTCTTTTGATAGGATAGAAGTTTGATTGTAAAATTGGAGGGTCCTACACTAATTTCTGAGTGAGGTCAAAATGTGTGTGTTTTCTAAGCCACAGAAAATATTTAAATATTTTTTACAACGAGTTACGTTGTTCCCATGAAAACTGTTCGGTGTTAGAGCAGATAATATGAGTCATATTTTAAAATAATATAAACCAATTAAGATGTATAAATCTCAACAAAGGTTAGAAAAATGCAAGATTTTACTGAAATTTAAGTATGTGTCTTATACACAAAATTATGCAGATTTGTGCAGAAATCCACTAGGCATAGCTTACTGGACATATATTATTTCATTCATTTGTTATTTGAGCCCTGGGCACTGCTCTAGCCTCTCAGGTTGCAGAGATAATTAATACATGATTCTAGTTTTTAAAAAACCCTCAAGTAGGGCATTGTGAACTGATTTTAAAATAGAATTGTAATTATGCTTTTCAAATGAATATTTGGACCTTCACTTAGTCATTCAGATGAGGGTGAGAGAGCAATTACATTGTACCCATAGGCTTCTAATGGATAAAATATGTCACTTATAAATGCTTCATTCATAGTATATAGCTTTTTGTAGTTTACAAATTGCATTTGAGTTGTACATTTAATTTTCATAATAACCTTCTGATTAGATCAGGCATGTATTAAAAGCCCCATTTATATTTAATGGAACTGAAACTAAAAGAAGTTATGTATATTTACATCCTAGAAACAGAATTGAGAAATGGTAGAATTGGGACCCCAAGAGCAATGCTCACATTACAGGAGCCAGCCCACTGTTTCTAAAAGTTGCAGCCCAGCCTACTTGTCCGTAAGGCTGGGATTAAAATTCTCATGATAAACTGACTGAATTAATATTGTTTAGATAGCTGAGAAGCTTACATTAGCCTCAGTGTACATGTCGCCTTTTCTGGAAAACCCACCTTGATCAGACTAGACTGATTAGGATTCTCATTTACAAACTCTTACAATTACTACCATAATAAGTTAGCCACTTTGTAACAATCTATTTTAAATATGCATACCCTTCTAAAATTTCATGGGGCTAATTTTCTTGACTGCTGTGTTTCTACTCTCCCTATGTATCACTGGCTCAAACAAGCAGGTCTTACTGATTCTTCAAACATGTCAAGCCTGTCTATTTATCTTAGGGCCTCTACAGATTCCCCTCTGCTCAGCATGTTCTTTTCCCAAGAGCCAGTGGTTTGGGCTCCTTCTCTGCTCTCTGCACAATGCCAACTCCCAAGAAAAGCTTTTTGTCACCATTCCAGTTAGATATTTCGCACCTTGATTTATGTGCCTCATAAAATGTAGCATAATTTTACATGATTCTGTTGATTTATCTATGCTTTGTTTTTAAATTCCCTGAGAGCAGGCATTTAATCTGTCTTGTTTACCACTTTCATCTCAGCACCTCAATGGTTCCTGTCAAATACTAGATACAAATTATATATTTAATGAATGAATGAATGGAAGAATGAATTGATGGATTCTTAGGTTTGGATGTGCTAGTTAATTTTTTTAGTATACATAGAAACAAATACATAACTATTTTTAAAATTGTGTTTATATCTCACCTAAAAGAGTCCCGTGTACTCCACTTTGGGAAGCACAAATTAATCATTAGGTAATTATTCCTTAATATCTTTCTTCCTCGGAAATATTTCATAAATTTCATGTGAATATATTCTCTTCACTTCTGTATTCATAGTGCCCACCACTGTGCCTGGCCCATGCCAGGTACTGGGTAAGAATGGGTTTAATAAATTAGTATTTGCCTCTATATGTGAACAGTATATGTTTGTATTTGTGGCCATACATACACACACACACACACACACACACACACACACATATATATATAAATTTGTTTTCTTGGCCGGTTGTGGTGGCTCATGCCTGTAATCCCAGCACTTTGGGAGGCCATGGCAGCCAGATTACCTGAGGTCAATAGTTCGAGACCAGCCTGTCCAACATGGTGAAACCCCAACTCTACTAAAAATACAAACAAAGAGCTGGGTGCGATGGCACATGCCTGTAATCTCAGCTACTTGGAAGGCTGAGGCAGGAGAATTGCTTGAACCTGGGAGAGGGAGGCTGCATTGAGCCGAGATCGTGCCAGTGCACTCCAGCCTGGGTGACAGAGTGAGACCCTGTCTCAAAAAAATAAAAATAAATTAAAAATAAATTCATTTTCTTATTAATACTGAGATGTTTGCTTATCCCCCAGATCTGTCTGGGTGTAAACTAACCATGTTTTTTTTTCTCACATTTACAGGATTATACCTTGACAATGTACTTTCAACAAGCCTGGAGAGATAAGAGGCTGTCCTATAATGTAATACCTTTAAACTTGACTCTGGACAACAGAGTGGCAGACCAGCTCTGGGTGCCTGATACCTATTTCCTGAACGATAAGAAGTCATTTGTGCACGGAGTGACTGTTAAGAACCGCATGATTCGCCTGCATCCTGATGGCACCGTCCTTTATGGACTCAGGTCTGTTGTCCCCAATTCAAAATATAACTTTTCCTGAACAAAATAGCTGTTAATTTTCATTGGATGGAAATATTGTGCTATTTTCCTTATCTTTCTTCAATTCTACTAAGAAACAGTTAAGCCTCCTATCCACTAGACATTTGAGAGCTTAAGGTAGCATGCTTACAAAGGAACTTAACCTCAGCTAAGACTACATTTTTCTGAATTATCTTCCAATATCAGCTGCTGATCCTAAAGCTGCTTTCTTTAAGGACTAGGGATAAAGAATATCAAAATAGCTGAGACATAGGGTTTCTTTAAAATACAAAAACATTGTGAATGCCAACTAATTGTTTGAATATGGGAGATGCTGTGTTTTGTAAATTGCTTCTGAGCTGCCTCAACGGGATCATGGCCCTCTGATGATGAGAAAGCTTATTGTGACCTCTTACCTTCCAAGGAGCAATCAGACTTGCAAATAAATAAAGTAGTCATCTCATGTTTATTAATGGGAAATGTATACTCAAATATACCTCTATGTCAGGAAATAACTGTGATACTCTGATATCTGGGTGAGGATAATTTATAGAATAAGATAGTTTTTCTTTTAAAGTTTATTCTGTACTGAAAGCATGGTTTCATATTAAAAGATGGTTTTCTAGAAAAAAAGAAGAAAAAATATATCTTTCTCTGAAAACACTATAATATAAAGGATTTCTCTTCATTAGAGTGGAAGAAATTCTAAACTCAGATTTTCAGTTGCCTAATTTATTCTGTGTTACATGAATATGTGGTTACCTTCTCATAATGGTGATAATAATAACAATAATATTCATTTATTGAACACTTGTTATGGGTCAGACATTGAGCTAAGTGCTTTCATGCATTATTATAGTTAACCCTTACAACAACCTCATACATTAGGAACTGCTATTGTCTTTGTTTTCAAATGAAGAAACAGAGGCTGATGCAATTTGCCAAAGATTACAAAGAAAGTAATCTCTGGAGATGGTACATAAACCCTGTTCCAAGTTCAGAGCCAAAGCCCTCAACAGGATGCCTCCAATTCCACATATTTCTTGTCTATTCTATCTCATTTTTATTTTCTGCTTTGTTCAGTACTCCTGACTGATACTTTATCTTAGATCCTTAGATTCAGCTGTTTTGTTTATGACATTTGTCGAGAAAAAGGCATTTGGCCTTCAAGGGAGGGAGGGATAAGAGAGGCAGAATGAGAGCACATTTGTACTCTGTGGCAAACACTGGTGGTAGACAAATGAGTTAGATACAGGCACTGCTCACATACATGCCTCAGAAAAGAAGGAAATAGAAGAGAGAGAAGGTAAGTTGACTGGCAAAGTCTGAAAAGATTCTACTGAAGTGGTGGACTTCGAAAGTACTAATGGAAAGAATTGTGTTCAGCAGATACATGATACTAAAATTATTACTTGGAATCAACTACAAAACATACAGTATCAGAGAGACCTTGATGAGAGGGTGACCATGTGTGCAGTGGAGAATAGGGAATGAAAAAAGACTGTAGTTTAATATTTTTAAAAAGTTAAGCATGGAGGGAGGTAAGAATCTAGAAGAAGGCAGGAGACTTAGAAATGATAAGTTACCCAGAGCAGACCCAGTGCTGGATGCATTTTGTCCATCATATCACTTCATCTTCACAGAAATAATGCAGAAATCACCCTGCACTCTTCCTGTTTCTCCAGAATACCTATTTTTAGGGCACAGGACATGTCATATTCTCCTTTGTATACCCAATACTGACTAAGCACCTACACTGTAAATAGCAGTGCAATAAAAGTTGAGGATGAATTCATAAATGCATGTAGGCAAAGTTGAGTGGACAGCAAAATCAGAATGCCTTTAGAATTGAGAGGAAAAGGGGGCTGAGCGCAGTGGCTCACACATGTAATACCAGCACTTTGGGAGGCCAAAACAGGCGGATCACGAGGTCAGGAGATCAAGACCATCCTGACTAACACGGTGAAAGCCTGTCTCTACTAAAAATTAAAAAAAATTTGCTGGGCGTAGTGGCGGGGGCCTGTAGTCCCAGCTACTCGGGAGGCTGAGGCAGGAGAATGGTGTGAACCTGGGAGGCGGAGCTTGTAGTGAGCCGAGATCGCGCCACTGCACTCCAGCCTGGGTGACATGGCAAGACTCCATCTCAAAAAAAAAAAAAAAGAATTGAGAGGGAAAAGGGGTAAATCAATATTATAGATGATAAATTGGCTTCTTTATATCATTAAGTCATTAATCAAACAAAAATGACGACAAGTTATTCTTATCATTAAGATCACTGGGACACTATTGCTGTACCTTTAATTCATGTCATTGGAAAATAATCATTCTCCCATTCCCACTTCCATCAAGGGCTATTAAAAAATATGCAGGTTCCTGAACACATCTAACATACATAGAATTAACACTTCCCCACGGAGAGGGCTCATGAATGGTGATTGTTCTCAGCTGTATTGTTAATTGTGAAGAGAAGATTAATAAGAACATTCATCAGGAAATATATAAATGTCCAATTCCAGCTTCAATGGGCAAATAGTAGAACAATTTATTCCTTAGAGAGAAATTTATGCATATCAGATCTTTCTCAACTCAAGGAGGTTCATTTGCAATAGATAGGTAAAAGGAATTCAGTTAAAGTTAGCTTTTATTCTATTTAATTTCTAGCTCCATTTTATATAATGCTAAAATATATTATTCTATTGTTACAGTTGATTCTACAATACTTTGCCCCTCCTGCTACTTACCCACCCCCAGCCAGTAATTTTCTATTGCTGACAATGTAGTGAGAAGTTTGTGTCTGTATTCCATAGGTCTGCATTGAAATGACACTTAAAATAGTAATAATATTAATATCAGTAGTTAGTACTCATTAAGAGACTTAGCATGTACTTGTCACAGTGCCAGAACTTTACATATATTATCTTATTTATATTAACTTTAACCCAGCAAAATGGGTACCATCATTTTCTCCATCTTACATGAAGAAATGAGGGAACTTGCTGACAAAATTACACAGCTGCTCTGCAGATGAGCTTAGTTATCTGAAGGTAAAGACGTTGATCTTCACTATTCTGTCCTGCTTATGTACTGGCAAGATGGAAATAAAGAATACTAGGAATCACCTGAGAGCATGCAGGGAACAAAAAAGATAAAAAAGTGTTTAGATGGAAACAACTTTTATTAGTCCATAAGTACAGGCTTTATTCTGGACTGATAAAAATAAGGCCCTAATGAACAACCTGCCTGAGTCTTCTATGAAAGGTGCATTATTAGGTCCTGTGGTTCACACTGGTTCCAGTTTAGTAGGGAATTTTGCTGTGTGGATTTCTGAGGCACAGGCAAGATCTTTGTAAATAATTTGGCAGTGGCAAAATTTACTAGTCTGGGTAAGACATATTGAAGGGCAACCATGAAGATGTGGATATGGGAAGCTGGCAGAAGAAAAACTTTAAATATCAAGGCAGTGACCAAGAAATTGGGTAGAACTAAGCCTGTAAGCTGAATGTCTTGTGAGTTTAAGGCAAAATCTAAGGGCTTAAACTTCTTTCCCATTAAGACAAACAAAGATTGGTGGGGTAGGTTAAAGGAGGGACAGTCATTTACAGTATCTGAGTAAGTTTCTTTCATAGGTTTTCTTCAGTGAAATCTTCAGGTATTAAAACATAATAAAGATAGAGAAAGAAGTATTGCAAAATATCAATGCTTATTGAATTTAACGGTAGGTATGTAAGTGTTCATTGTATTGTTCTTTCAGCTTGTCTGTTTGAATGTCTTCATAATAAAATTTGGGTCTGGGCATGCCTGTAATCTCAGCACTTTGGGAGGCTGAGGTGGGCAGATTGCTTGACCTCAGGAGTTCAGGACCAGCCTGGGCAAAATAGCAAAACCCTGTCTCTGCAAAACATATGAAAATTAGCTGGGTGTGGTGGCATGTGCCTGTAGTGCCTGCTTCTCTGGAGGAGGCTGAGGTGGGAGGATGGCTTGAGCCCAGGAGGCGGATGTTGCAATGAGCGAATTCATGCCACTGCGCTACAGCCTGGATGACAGAGCCGTACCCTGTCTCAAAAAAAAAAAAAAAAAAATTGGGGAACAAAATTTCATGTTTCAGAGGCCTAGGGACCTTTTGTTCTATTATCTGGGAAATACCACTCAACATTTAAAAGGTCTGCAGCCATGGGATGATAGTTCCCATCTCTCGTGTGTACAGAATCTTCTATGAACACATCCTTTGAGTACCTGTGTCAGAAGAGGTGGTCATCTCATCTCAGAGGATGTGTGGCTCAGTGGGTGAGATCCATGATCACGGATAGCCAGGCTGATCCATTATCCGGAGAGGGGTGCTCAAAGCTCGTCAGCCAGAACCTTGCTACCACTCTTGTCAAATTTTCTTTCTGCAAAAGCATGCCCACTGCTTCTGATGGTGCACAAGAGCTCTAAGTCTACTCATGCTCATATTTTGTGCTTGGTTAGCAAGAAATTTAAGCATGCACACCAGCTGCTCAGCAAGCTTGCATTAAGTTATAGTGGTCTTGAGGATTTCAGGAGATGAGATGAAGATTTAGAAATATGGACCCTTTTTTTATAGACTAAGTTCTAACAGTTTTCATCCTTATTGGATCTCTGTTTTCTCATCTCTAAAAGCACACGATTGCAGCATACTCTTAGTTATTCCTTTGCTTTTCAGTATGAAAATCATTCCAGGGGCTCTGGGAACAGATTTCTAATGCTTTGCAGATAGATTCCAACCAATTTCCTTAACAAAGAGTAATGATAATGGAAGTTGGGTTTTAATTTGGACTTTTGTCGGTGGCTTCTCATTGAACCTTAAGCATATTTTCCAGGTTTTATTGTCCTCATTCATAGGAAGAGGGGTGAATTAGATGCTATCAATATTTTCTACCCAGTCATTCTTTGAGTCAGTGATCAATCAGTGTAAAATAATGTATAATCTATGAGAATAAAAAATGAAATCATATAGTTGGAGTAGCACAGTAATTGGTGGATAGTAAGTGCTCAGTACCACTTAATATTTAATAAATAAATGGAAGCATGGATGGGAAATTATAGAACTTTACCCTAGTTATCTTTTCATTGTTCTGTGAAGTAAGACACTAGTTTCTTTGTGTAGAACAGAAAGAGTGGGACTGAGCAAGTGCATTGAAAGGAATGGGAAAAACCTAGGCCAGGCATGTCTAGAATGCAAAAGAAAACCGCTAAAGAAAATTCAAAGGATTGTCAAACAGTGTTGAGGATGCAAACTTGTAGAGGAACCAGGTATCTGCAGCCATTGCATTTGTCAGTTTGAGATCACAAGTGAGGAAATTAGATGCCTGGCATGGGACCCAGGTGGTCATGACAACTCTTAACTGAGACCCTCAATCCCCAAGGCAAGCGCCTCAGTTGTAGCATGCCTTCAATAATTTTCATTTAATAATGTGTTGTATGGTTCTTCCTAAACCAAGCCTCTCCTTTTCTTCTCATCATGTCTTATCACTCCTCCATTTTCTTAACTTTATTTGAAGAGCTTCAGGAATTTCAGGAATAATTAAGTTATGAATAGTGCTTTTTTTTTTTTTTTTGGAATCTCACTCTGTCTCCAAGGCTGGAGTGCAGTAGTGCAATCTCGGCTCACTGCAACCTCTGCCTCCCGGGTTCAAGCAATTCTCCTGCCCCAGCCTCCCGAGTAACTAGGATTACAGGTGCTCACCACCACACCTGGCTAATTATTTGTATTTTTAGTAGAGACAGGGTTTCAACATGTTGGCCAGGCTGGTCTTCAACTCCTGATTTCAAATGATCTGCCCACCCCGACCTCCCAGTGTGCTAGGATTACAGGCATGAGCCACTATGCTAGGCCAAGTGCTTCTTTTTTTTATTAAAAAAGCTTAAAATTGCAGTTTGTGACCAAAGAATATTGAAAGTCTTGAATACAAAATCCTCACTGTCTTAGTTGATTTGGGCACTATAATAAAATACCATAAACTGGGAGGCTTTGTAAACAGCAGAAAATTATTTCTCACAGTTCTGCAGGCTGGGAAGTCCAAAATGAAGTCACCAGCAGATATGGTGTCTGATGAGGGCAGGTTTCCTGATTCATGGATGATACCTTCTCACTGTGTCCTCACCAGGTGAAAGCAGCAAGGCAAACTATGGGCACTAATCCCATTAGATCCTGCCCTCAAGACCTAATCTTCTCCCCAAAGGCTCTTTCTCCCACTACCATTACATTGGAAATTAGGTTCAACTCATGAATTTGTGGGACACAGACAATCACAAGATACCACTCACCTTCACTCTTGGTCACTGTTGATAACTCAGGACAATCTAATTATAAAATTAAATATTTCCTGTAATTTACCAAACTCTTTAGAGATTTCCATCAAGAGATATGGCTAGATATGGGGAAGAATGTTTTCTTGGGAGTAGCTTAGCTGTAGATGTGGCAACAAAAGACATTCCAGTTGACTAGGCAGAAGAAATCCTAGCGATTTAAAAAGCAGATATTTAAAACAGACTGAAATATGGTCTATTCCAAAATAACATTGACCCAATTAGATCATTTTCAGAATAGTTTAAAGAAAAATGATATAGAAAATACAGAAATTTTTTTGTGTGTGAGACAGTGTCTCACTCTGTCACCCAGGCTAAAGTGCAATGATGCAATCTCGACTCACAGCAACCTCTGCTTCCTGGGCCCAAGTAATTCTCCCACCTCAGCCTCCTGAGTAGCTGGACCTACAGGCATGTGCCATCACACCTGGGTATTTCTTGTATCATTTTTGTAGAGGTGAGGTTTCGCCTTGTTACCCAGGCTGTTCTTGAACTCCTGGGCTCAAGCCATCCACCTGCCTCGGCTTCCCAAAGTGCTAGGATTACAGGTCTGATCTTCTGTGCTTGGCCTACAATTAAAAAAAAAAAATTTTAGGTTCAGGAGGTATAAGTGCAGGTTTGTATACTTGAGGTATATTGGGCAATGCTGGGGTTTGTGCTTCTGTTGAGCCCATCACCCAAATATTAAATAGAAAGCAGAATTCTATCAATGAACTCAGCTGAAGCGCAAGCAGGTAAAAATCAGATTTAATCTGGTGTTGACATGCTCATCATAAAGAAGGTCACATAGGTATAATTCAGACTATTATTCACTTAAAATAGGATATTTATTGGGTTTCAAAAACTAATGAATAATTACAATGGACAGGAAATCAGAACACCTGCATTCTTGTCCAAAATTAGTGATTCTTCTGATCACTCATTTAAATGATTGCTAAATGTTTATTCTAGCTTCCCTAAGCCCATTAATTCTGTGACTTTGTTAATGTATGACATATATCCTTTTAGCACTTCCATCTCATTACGCATAAAACGGTATTTAAAATATTTCAATTGCTCAAGAAACTATTTATCTCCTTGAAGAAAACCCTGATTTATTAAGAAATCAAAAATATCATAACATTCAGGTACACAAAAGAGCAGTCAACTTGAATTACCAATTGATGACATGTTTTTGTGAGCATAACAGTGCATATTTTCATTAAAACTTAGAATCTAAATATAAGTTGGCTGTATATTATTTATACCAAGTCATTAATATTACATCATACTTAATCACATTGAAAACTCTTCAACAAACACAGTAAAATCTTCGTTGAATCATGAAATAATCCATGTTTCTTATTGACTATTTAGAAACTATAGTTCTTATGAAAATAAAAGTACCCCAATCCTACCACACAGAGATAACCACCACCTTGGTCTTGCTGTATATGCCTTTAAAGTATTTTTCTTTTAAAAATGTATATATGTAGTTTATTATGAAAACATTCATCTTATATATACAATTTTGTATCTTTTTAAATTAACAATGAATGTATAGTAAGCATGTTTGTCACGTCAATAAAACCCTCCTCACCATCATTCTTCATCCATGATAGGACATATTTAAAATATATTTCTTGATCTAATATAGGATATGGCTTATGGTTTTTATATAAGATGGACTATTTGGTTGTGGCTATCAAATGCAGGACTATTATTTAAAATTTACTTCTTATTTTAATGAGAAATAGGCAAAATTATTTGTGACACAATTTATAATCTTATAGTTGTCTTGTTGTAATTTATAGTCTCATTAGTTGAAGAAATGGCTCAGGGTATATACTCCTACTGATTTTGTTGGGACAGTTCTTATGGAAGGAATGACTTTCTTATGTTCTCAGTTGTAGCTGACCCATCTAAAAACAATTGTTTGTCTTTCTGCATAAGGGGGGACACCTTGACTTCACATGTGTATACACCTCCCATATGTAACATTAGATCAGAAACTTGTCACTTCTGATTAAATGCTCACATTCTTAAAGAAAGATTCAGCAGGAAGCAGAAGGTAATTCAACCACCTCCTGCTTTGTATGTTCTGTCATTGGTAAAATGGCAAAAGACAATGTTAGTCTGTAATGAATTTAGACAGGCAGGATTTTATTAATTTTATCCTCTTCCTCTACTCTGAAAGTTTTACCACAGGATGACTGAGTAGTCATCTCACACTGAAATATATTTTATCAAACATTAATATATCAATTTTTAACTCAGATTTCCTAATTCATTTTCATAAAGATATTGAGTGAATATATTTTGTCAAGCAGAACAAAAGAGATTTCATTAAGAATATGAGTCCTTCTGGACAGAATGTGAGAACCTATTCTCTAAATTTTGCCAGTCTTCAAAGCACCTGTCTCCACCTGTATGTGAAAAAAATGCATACGATAGGCTGTTATAGAATGCAACCTCTTTAAAGAACTGCAATTACCTTTTTAAAAAATATGTTTTCCATGATTGTCCTATAAGATTAAAAGTAAATATATTTAGAATTAATTTCTGATATATTCAAGTTCACCTCCTTTTTTTATAGCAAGGAAAAGGGAGGCTCAGAGCGGGAAGTAATTGTGCCTAACATCCTAGAGACGATGGCAAACCACAGAGCAGAATCCCAAGCTCCTAACTCTTAGCCCAGGGCTTGTTATTATTGTTGCTACTGCTACTGCTGGAGTTATTTAGTTACTTGGAGTCATCCTTGCCTGACTGATGATAGAAAACAATTTAAATCCAAGCCAACAATAGCAGGATCAGAAATACATCATTCTTCAGCCTTAGAAATGGAGAGACTTGTATTTAGCAACCCTAGGAAATAATCCAGGGCTCATTTTGTTGCAACCTTTTACTGTATTTTTAAATAAAAAACACTTAAAGAGGAAAAGCAAGTTTGCCTCTTTTCTTTTTTTTCTAAAATATTTCTGACCCATCATGTTCTGGTAGCCAATGGATCTCCTTGACTGTTGGCTACGTGGGTCCCTAGTTGTTCTCATGTCTGTTGATTTCAACGGAATGAAAGTTCGCTGTGGCAGCACTGAAACCAAAGTTGTGAAGGGGATTGCTTTAGGAAAGAGGAATGGCTGGAGACTCCAGAGGTTTTGAAGTAGGGAAGAAGCCAGCTGCGCTTCCAAGAAATGTAGGGATTTTATATTGCAGGCCTGAAGAATGTGTACAGTAGTGTTATGGAAGTAGACCTTGTCTGCAAAGAGGAAAATTATTGAAATCCATTGAGGATATTTTATTAATGGGCTTTTGAAAATATCTATATATAGCATTGATATACATAGTACATTCAAAGGTAGTACTTGCATGTTCCTGATTTCATTAGGAGTGAACCTTCTGAGTCACCAGAATACTGTGAACGTGGAAAGAAGCCAGGTCTTCATTTTACTCTATTTTTTTTTTAGCAAAGTATTTCCCAGTAGATGTTTAAAATTGTTGCTATTGTGTGTGTGCATGTGTGTGTGTGTATCTTCATTTATAGGTATAGGTGTATATATATCTATATGTCTGTAGATATGTTTGTATATATTTGTATATGTGTAGTACACACACCCATAAGGGCACGGTTTTTTCATTTGTCTTACATTTAGACTGAAAAACAACAGAAGAGACTTCCATTGTTTCAAGCCTTGAAATAATGCAGATTGTTCTCAGCGTTGGTTTAATGATTAAGTTTTCTCTAATTACATTTGGAGTAACTTTTGCATCACTTTGATTTCATGAAATCGGTAAATTTTGTTGGCAGCTTTTGCTGGCAGCTTACTTGGCAAATGGGAAACATACAGAGTTAGACTAGTATAATGAGTTCACTTAAAGCAGAGTTTTAATTAGATAAAGACATTCAAAGCAAATGCAAATGAATACTTGAGTCAGTTGTAGTAGTAGTAGTAACCTTTATTGGATACTTTTATATGTCAAGTCCTGAATTATCTCATTTACATCAAACAATTTTGTGAAACAAGCTATTGTTATGTCCATTTTATAGCTGAGGAAACTGAGACTTTGGGGGAATAAGTAACTTGCTAATGAGTTTCAGGGCTCAGATTGAACTCAAAACCCATGATCTAAGTCACTTACTCAAAGTCTGAAAGAATGCAATCTTCATCCAAGTAAATGAATGCAAAAGACTCTTGAGAAAGCAGGTACTGAAAGTGTTGATGGATGGAGAAGACTGAAGAGTCTAGATTTCCAAGGTCCCTTAAAAAGAACTGAGTATTCATTCATCTCCCCTCTAAAGAGATTCCCCTCTGGAGAGATGTCTTAGTCATCATTCATTAATGGATGAATATGGCTCTATTAGTTTTAAACAAGACTCCACAATATGGACTGATGCACTGTTTCTGGCTGGCCCATTGCTTTTCTTATAAATACAGCACATAAAGTACATTCCTCAGGTGTAACTTAATATGATAATTCCTTTTATCTATTATTCTTAAAGGGGTTTCTCTTATGCAACTACTTACACATGGAAGGTCATTTTGTTACACTTTTCTGAACGACCAAGTCCAAGTAAAAGCTACATGCAATATAGTTTGTAATTTGAGGTATAGAAATTTTGAAAATCTGTTCTATTTCACAGTTATACAACCATGTTTTTAAGTTTCAAAAAAACTCCAGATTAGGGAAAACTGACCATTGAAAGATTAGATTAACCCTCAGTTTAATTAGCCAAAGATACAAAACTTTACTGGAAGTTAGGAGGCCATGCAAAGTGGTCTGCAGGGAAATATCTCTGCATGACTTCTAAGGCTCCCAGAGACTCTGAAGGCCACCAGAGAATTATCCTGCCCACAGGTTTTCTGCTCGATTGAAGAAACTCAGTTTTTTTAGATACAGGGTCTCACTCTGTCCTCCCAGTCTGGTGTTCTCATAGTTCAGAGCAGCTTCGAATCCCTGGTCTCTAGCAAACCTCCTACCTCAGCCTCCCCAGTAGCTGGGACTACAGGTGCACACCACTACATCCGGCTAATTTTTAAACTTTTGGTACAGACAAGGTCTCACTATGTTCCCCAGGCTGGTCTTGAACTCCTTTTCACAAGTGATCTTCCTGTCTTGGCCTCCCAAAGTGCTGGGATTACAGGCATGAGCGACTATTCCTCTCCCCAAGAAATTTAATTCTTACTTTGTAATTCAAGAAGAAATTACCCAAATAACCTGTACATTTTAATTTCAAGGCTGCACAAACATCATTATCCCTTTGAGTTTCTTGATTCTATATTGAGCATCAATAATCATTCTAAAGGGGAAATCAGAGAGTACTGGACCAATAGCTATTCTCTAACTGTCAAGCAACTAGAAAAGTACCTCTGACTACCAGAATATTAGGAAGGATCCCAAAGTACATGAAGAAAATCTATACTTGTTTTCTATAATAAGTAACAGGAGTTTCAGGCTTATTTCCCATGGGGAGAAAAAAATAGGTAGAAGATTAAAAAATTACACAACCTATGGAAGTTACTGCCAAAAATGTTTGTTAAAAGACTTTTGGTAAAAGTTTTAATCACTTGCTTTGCTAATGAATGTTCAGGGAAGATTTCTACCTCATTCCTGTCTCCTTATTTTGGAGATCACATATAAAGCAAGCTTTTCCTTGAAAAACCAAACCGGTGTAATAGGTTAATGACTCAAATCACATTCACCACTTTACAAAATGCTCAAGCTATTTTACTTCTCAGAAGTAGCTCATTATCTGCACTCTTATGGACAGAATAAAAGGCAACAAAATGCTAAATGACCATAAATCCCTAGAGAAAGATACTAATTCCATGTTGAATTGTTCCCACTAGCCATAATGGAGAAAATAATTAGGACTTTATATTTTAGCAGCTGTAACAGGCTGACAACTAAGAGAAACTATTGAAAAGACCAGGATAAAGAACAAATCTTCTGGCATAAAAATACTAGGAGGCATCTGTGCATTTTACATCATTGCATAATGAGGCCAGACAACACAAAACTTAGAATAGCAGTATTGCAATGTGTTAAGAGTATGGGTTGTGGACCTGACTGCCTTGCTTCAATACCTTTAGCTGTGCTCTATCTTTCTAAGCTTCAGTTTCCTCATCAGTAAAATAGGGCTTAATAGTTCCTATCTTGTAGGATTACTGAGGGGATTAAGCTACAAAAAAATGCTTGTAAAGAATTTACTAAAGTGCCTGGCACATAAGTTGTTTGTAAAGATTGGTTGCTATTATTAGCCTCACTGCTGGTACCAGCCTTGACCTTTTCTGCATTTTTCATCAGGATAAGAGGGAGATGACTTTTTTTTTTGGCAAGAGAAAATGGTGGTGGTAAATTCTTATTATGTATCAATACCATGCCAGGCTTTGGAGATACAGGAAGATAAATGACACATCCAGTCTCTGTGACTCAAAAACTTGGAGGCTAGTGGGAGAAGAAAATATGTAACAGATGATGAGAGGTAGGATAGGCTAAGTAAGAGCCAAAATCTGGAGTCAAAGACACAGGGGTTGTTTTACGGGCCATGTGTCTTTCATAAGTCAACTAATGACTCTCAATCCAAAATAGTATTATTTAACTTATAGGAATTTTGTCAAAAGTAAATAATAAATCATTGCATTTTTAAAGAAAAGTGAACTGAATCTTAGACAAATTCAGTAACTTGTTCAAAGTTGTACTAGTATACACGTCAAAGATGGGGATAGGTTCCAAGTCTGCCTGACTCCAAAGTCTGTGCCTTTCATGATGATTTAATGGGTTGAATGTGAAGAAATGACCCCATGCATGCAGTTGGAAGTGGCAGAGCAGACAGGGACGTACTCAGAATTCTCTTAAGAGGAATAGCTGAATGCAATTATTCACTTTGATTACCTAAATATTAGGAATGTCTGTACAGTGTTCCAGAAAGAAGCCAGAAAAAATAATAATAAACTCTAATTTATGTTTAATAAAACAGGCACACTCCAGGTAAGTGAATCACTGAAGCTTTAATTCATTTATCCATCAATCCATCCAGTCAAGTCCTGAGTGAGCACCTCTTGTTGCTCTAGGTGGAAGATAGAAGGTACAGTAGTGAATAAGCTACATATAATCCTTACTCCATAAGCTTGTACTTGGAGAAGGAAAGATATAAACTACCAGCAAAAGAGATATTTAATGTTAATGATAAGGTTTATAAATTGTGATGAATTGAATTGTGGAAGTTAAACATAATAATATGATAAAGAGTTACTGGAGGAGAAAGTGTAATCCTACTTTAGGAGGTGACATTTGAATTGAAATATCATCACTAAAGGTTGGTATTGATGATTTTGTCAAACTCTGTGAAATATTTGAAGAGATTTATTCTGCACCACATATGAGTTATCAGTGGCCTATGGTACATCTCTTAGGAAATTCTGAGAACATGTGCCCAAGGTGGTCAAGACACTATTTGGTTTTCATACATTTTAGGGAGATACAAGGCATCAATTAATACATGTAAGATGGACATTGGTTTGGCCCAGAAGGGTGGGGCAGCGGGAGGCTTTCAGGTAATGGATTCAAATATTTTCGGATTGGCAATTGGTTGAAAGAGTTATTATCAATAGAAAGAATGTCTGGGTTGTGATAAGGTGTTTTCAACACCGAGGTTTTATCATGCAGATGAAGCCTCCAGATAGCAGCTTTCAGAGAGAAAATTGTAAATGTTTCTTATCAGACTTAAAGAGTCTCTTCTATTTGTAATTGCAAAAGGGAGGAGGCTGTAATGAGACATGTCCAACTCCCCCTTCCCATCATGGCCTGAACTGATTTTTCAGGTTAACTTTGGAATGTCCTTGCTGAGAGGAGGGATCCATTCAGATGGTGGGGATTGGGGGGCTTAGAATTTTATTTTTAGTTTACATTCAAAAAGCACAGATCTGAGGAATGAGTGTTCCAGTTAGAAAGAATGAAAATACAGTAGTCCTAATGGCAGAACAAACTCCTGTGCTTGCAAGAAGAGAAAGCCAACTACTTTACCCTGAACTTTATGTTCCCTCTCTTTCATATCACTGCCTTTTTTATTCTTTATAACTATATGCATTATGTATTTGTTTACTATTTAATGGCCTGTCACCACTAGAATATAAGCTCTGTGAGAGTAGAAACCTCTGCTTTTTCCCCAACTGTTTATACCCCAGCATCTTGAGGAGTGCACATCCTACAAGAGCCAATTTAAAAAATTTGCTGAATGAATATATGTACGCATGAATGAGTAATTGCCGTTTCGCCACAGCACTTTTCTAGTTTATCAGTCTGACTCCTGACTCTGTTTATCAGTTTGTGGGATCTGAGGTTTCTGCAGGGTTTACCTTAAATTGATTTATTACTCTGTCTGTCAATGAATGCAATTCATACAAAATAGGGTCAAACAATGGATTTGCATACTGAGGTAAATTAAGAGGAGTAAAAAGAGAAGCATTAAATCAAACTGATATTATTTAAAACCCAATTATCAAAGACTATTATGTTTAAATGAGGTGAAAAAAATCTGATTGTCCCATCTAGTAGAAAACGTGTGGCATTTCACTGTATTGGTAAGAAACTTCATTAGTAGTGAGACTGTGCTTCAGGTGATGTCAATTTCAACAGCTGATAAGAAGACATTTTAAAGATAAGATCAGCAATTGTCATGAATTCAGTTTCCCAAATTATAAATTAAGTGCAAATATGAGTTGACCGTGTTAAAATTTCCATTGGCATGGCATTTTCTTATGTTATGTTATCATTTGCAATCACTGCGATATTCTCAAAGATAAACAGAAATGTCAAAGTAGAGGGAATTGTACTGTGGTAGAATTAAGTGACCCATATTAGCCTCCTAGCATAGAATGAGTCAATGAGAAAACCCTTTCTAGTGAGAGCCAGTGCTTTTCAGAAACATGTCTCAGAACTTCATTACAGCTAAGTTCAAAGGGATGTTCTCTTTTATTCATGATAATCAAATGTTATATGACTAAAATGTATGTAACTTTTTATTGATTGCAGAGCAGTGGTATCATATTATTTCATTGGCATAGGGTATGTCTTTATGTAATTTGGAGTATCTTGCCTATCCTTCAGAGGGAATGTGTGTTTCTGTGCATGTGCATGCACATGTGTGTAAGGAATGAAAGGAGAATACTATCTGGGGAAAAAGAAAATGCATTTCCTCAGAACAGTATTTTTTCCCAAATATTAAGTATTTAAGCCCCTTTGACTGGACCTATACATTGATTTTCCCTTTGGGAAGTTAGACATAACATGAGGATTAGTCATATACCAGTGTAAACAAGGCTTATGATGTGATAATGAGAAATGCTTTTTCCCACCCAAATTGGCTCTTCTTAGCTAATTTAGTGTGTGAATAAATTATATTTCTTACTGATACACTAAGATGATTCATTAAGGGTTAATTTATGGAGCCTCCCTAAATTACTGCTCTACTCATTGGTCATTACCCCTGATGATGGCATGAGACAAACCACATGTCTGGCCCTTACTTGATGGCAGATGAAGTTACCAAGGAGGAGAAAAATGCTGTGTCCACCACATGGGTGGCCAGGGGCTGGGCAGAGCTATGAACTGAAAAAACAGAGGAGAACAACAACACAGGTGTGAAAATGAACTTTGCCTAAATTCTAAGCAGGAGAAAAACAGGTTTTAATCTGAAAGACCAAGTTCCAAATAATATGGATTATCAGAGATTCTGATTTGGGGAACCTCAAACTCTGGACTGACTTATGGAGCTGAATAAAATCTGTGTCACTAAATAGGTTTTAGGTTGAATATTTATTTTATTGTGAAAATCTCACGCATCTTAGACAAGGAAGAGGCTATATCCCTAGGCCACTTTCCTTTCTTGTGATTTTGATTTTTTAGTATCCTGTTCGGACTTCTGTTTGTTCTATCATAAATGGGATCCTTGGCTCACCTTTGTTACTTGTAGTATTTTAAAATTATGAAAAAGTGTTATTGTTGTTGAAATTATTATTGTTCAGTGACAATGTTCCTTAATTACAAAAAGCTATTTTATCCTTGCAAGTTGTCAGTTTCTGTAGGCATGGATAGAACAGAGTGTAAAATATACATATAACTAAATTTAAAATAGATCATTGTTGTAGTTGCTGACAACAAAGATTTGGTGGGGGAGAAGAATAGGAAGCAGGGAGGGGAGGGTGTAATTCTGTATTCTAGGTGCTATCCAGTTATTGCAGACACAATTTTATGTTCAGGAGAACATCAGGGTAAGGGCTTACCTCTGTAGATAGCATTTACTTCAAACCAGGTACTGAACGTGAATGTATTCCTCATATGAGCCATGACATCTCTGTGCTTCAAAATGTGGCTTTCATTTTCTTATTTTTCCCACTGCTCTGTGGTAAAGGGGACCAACTGAATCAAGAGAGATTTGGGGACACTAGACTTTTTGATGTCTTTGGGTAGCACCATCTGCATGAACAGATGGGGGAACATGTCACAGGGCTAGAAGGGGACTCTGAGATCAAAAAAAAAGAAAGAGAGAGAGAGAGAATTGAAAAGGGAATGAGGGAATGCAATGGCAGGGTAAAGCAGATTGAGTGTCAGTGGCTGGGAATTCTTTGCAACCTGACCCAGGTAGTGGTCACTGAATGGCTGCCACCTGTGGAGTCCATGGGTCCCCAGGACAGTGCTGCTCAGCATTACAGCAGGCATATTGCTTAGCAGTAGGAATGGGCACATACCTCTGTTTCTCTGTGCTGACAAGAGGAGATCCCTGATGCTGTCAGTTACAACTCCACAGGGAGGACAGCATGGTTTGGTTTCCATTAAGTTTTCCATATGGCTACAGGCCAGTAAAAGGGCTGCTTCAGTGTCCTGGTGGAAGATTCTGCACGAGAGTGGGTACCTCATCATCACTAATTTCCCCCAAGTTGACAAAAAGCATATACTTTTGCTCATGATACTTTACTTACTTACATGTTTCTTTATTTTTTTCATTCATTCATATGCTTATTCAATCATTCCATTTTTATTTTATTTATTTAAAAAAGTACATTTGTAGGGGTACATAGTAGGTATTTGTATTTATGGGATACATGAGATGTTTTGATAGAGGCATGAAATGTGAAGTAAACACATTATGGGCAATGGGTTTTCCATAGCCTCAAATATTTATCCTTTGAGATACAAGCAATCCAATTACATTGTTTAAGTTATTTTAAAATGTACAATTAAGTCACCATTGACTATAGTCACCCTATAGGTCTTATTCATTCTTTCTATTTTTGTACGCAATAACCGTCCCCATCTCCCTCCTCCCACCCCAGTTAGCCTCCCATTACCATTCTCAGCCTCTGGTAATCATTCTTCTTCACTCTATGTCTATGAGTTCAATTGTTTTGATTTTTGGATTCCCCAAATAAGTGAGAACATGAGATGTATGTCTTTCTCTGCATGGCTTAATTCACTTAACATAATGATCTCCAGTTCCATTCATGTTACAAATGAATGGATCTTATTCCTTTTTGTGGCTGAATAGGACTCTATTGTTTATAGGTATCACATTTTCTTTATTCATTCATCTGTTGATGGACAGTTAGGTTGCTTCCAAATCTTAGCCATTGTAAACAGTGCTGCAACAAACATAGGAGTACAGAAATCTATTTGATACACAAATTTCCTCCTTTGCGTATATACCCAGCAGTGCGATAGCTGATCATATGGTAGTTTTATATTTAGTTTTTTGAGGAACCACCAAACTGTTCTCCATAGTGGTTATACTAATTTACATTCCCACTAGCAGTGTATAAGGATTCCCATTTCTTCACATCGTCATCACCATTTGTTATTGCTTGTCTTTTGGATATAAGCCATTTTAACTGGTTTGAGATGATACCTTATTGTAGTTTTGAATTGCATTTCTCTGATGATCTGAGATGTTGAGAATCTTTTTATATTCCTGTTTGTGATTTGTATGTCTTCTTTTGAGAATTGTCTATTCAAATATTTAGCCAATTTTTTAGCAGACTTTTTCCTAAAGAGTTGTTTGAGCTCCTTATATATTCTGGTTATTGATTCCTTTTCAGATGGGCAGTTTACAAATATTTTCTCTCATTCTTCGGGTTGTCTCTTCACTCTGTTGAATGTACCCTTTACTGTGCAGATGCTTTTTAACTTGATGTGATCCCATTTGTCTATTTTTGCTTTGGTTGCCTGTGCTTGCAGGTACTGCTCACGAAATCTTTGCCCAGACCAATGTCTTGGAGATTTTCCCCAATGTTTTCTTGTAGAAATTTCATAGTTTGAAGTTTTAAAGTCTTTAATCCACTTTGATTTTATTTTTGTATATGGTGATACATAGGGGTCTAGTTTAGTATTTTGCTTATGCATATACAGTTTTACCAGCACCAGTTATTGAAGACATTGTATTTTCGCCAGTAAGTGTTATAGGCACCTTTGTCAAAAATGGGTTCACTGTAGGTGTGTGGATTTGTTTCGGGGGCCTCTATTCTGCTCCATTTGTCTATGTGTCTGTTTCTATGCCAGTACCATGCTGTTTGGTTACTAGAGTACTGTAAATATATTTGGAAGTCAAGTAATGTGATTCCTCTGGTTTTGTTCTTTTTGCTTAGAATAACTTAGAATAACTTTGGCTATTCTGGGTCTTTTGTTGTATTGGGGCCTATATCTCTGTTTGCTTCTAATAATATTTGCCTTATGTATCTGGGTGCTCCAATGTTGGGTGCATATGTATTTACAATTATTATATCCTCTTGCTAAATTGACCTTTTATCATTATATAATAACCTTTGTCTCCTGTAGTTTTGATGTTGAAATATATTTTGTCGGGTATAAGTATAGCTACTACTGCTCTGTTTTGGTTTCCGCTGGCATGGAATACCTTCTTTCATTTATTTATTTTCAGTCTATATGTGTCTTTATAGTTGAAGTGCGTTTCTTGTAGGCAACAGATCAATGAGTCTTGTTTTTTCATCCATTCAGCCAGTAATGTGTTTTGATTGGAGAGTTTAATCCATTTACATTCATGTCATTATTGATAAATAAAGACTTACTCCTACCATTTTGTTATTTATTTTCTGGTTGCTTATGGTATTCTCTTCTTTCTTTCCTTCCTGTCTCCCTTTTGTGAAGGTGATTTTCTCTGGATATGATTTAGTTTCTTGCTTTTTATTTTTTGTGTATATGTGGTATGTGTTTTGTTTTTTTTTTTTTTTTTGGTTTGAGGTTACCATGAGGCTTGCAAATAGTATTTTTTAACCCATTTTTATGTGATTGTCTTTATTTTGTTCTTCTCTACAACTTTTAAGTTCCAGAGTACATGTGCTAGATGTGCAGGTTTGTTATATAGGTAAACATGTGCTATTGTGGTTTGCTGTACAGATCAACCCATCACCTAGGTATTAAGCCCAGCATCCATTAGCTATTCTTCCTTATGCCCTCCCTCCCCCTACCCCCACCAATGGCAGGCCCTCATGTGTGTTGTTCCCCACCACATGTCCATGTATTCTCATCATATAACCCATTATTTTAACCTGATAACAACTTAACATTATTTGCGTAAGCATACAAGCAGACAAGCAAAAAGAAAACTAATAAAAATTCTACTCTTTAGCTTCGTCCCCCTACTTTTAAACTTTTTGTTTTTTCTATTTATATCTTATTGTACTGACTATGTCTTGAAAAGTTGTTGTAGTTATTACTTTTATTGATTCATCATTTAGCCTTTCTACTTAGGAAAAGAGTAGCTTACACACCCCAGTTACATTGTTATACTATTCTGTGTTTTTCTTTGTACTTTCTATTATCAGTGAGTTTTTTTTACCTTAAGGTGATCATTTATTGCTCATTATTGGCCTTTTTTCTGATGGAAGTACTCCTTATAACATTTCTTGTAAGACAGGACTGGCATTGATGAAGTCCCTCAGTTTTTGTTCATCTGGGAAAGTCTTTATTTCTCCTTCATGTTTAAGAGATATTGTCATTGGATACACAATTTTAGCCTAAAAGTTATTTTCTTTCAGCACTTTAAATATGTCACGCCACTGTCTCTTGGCCTGTAAGGTTTCCACTGAAAAGTCTGCTACCAGACATATCGGAGTGTCATTGTTATTTGTTTGTTTTTCTCTTGATGCTTTTAGGATTGTTTATTTATCCTTGACCTTTGAGAATTTGATTATTAAATGCCTTGAATTAGTCTTCTTTGGGTTAAATCTGCTTGGTGTTCTATAACCTTCTTGTACTTGGATATTATCTGTCTCTAGGTTTGGGAAGTTCTCTATTATTATCACTTTGAATAAACTTTCTCTTCCTATCTCTCTACCTCCTCTTTAAGGCCAATAACTCTTAGATTTGCCCTTTTTAGGCTGTTTGAGAGATCCTGTAGGCATATGTCAGTGTGTTCCGTTCTTTTTTCTTTTGTCCCCTCTGATTATGTATTTTCAAAGAGCTTGTTTTCAAGCTCACTAATTTCTTCTTCTGCTTGATCCATTCTGCTATTAGGGGACCCTGATGCATTCTTTGGTATGCCAATTGCATTCTTCCACTCAATTTTTGCTTGACACTTTTTTCATTATTTTGATCTCTTTGTTAAATTCATCCGATAGAGTTCTGAACTTCTTCTCTGTGTTATCTTGAATTTCTTTGAGTTTCCTCAACACAGCTATTTTGAATTCTGTGTCTGAAAGGTCACACATCTCTCTTTCTCCAGGATTGGTGTCTGGTGACTTATTTCATTCATTTGGTGAGGTCATGTTTTCCTGGATGGTGTTCATGCCAATAGATGTTCTTTGGCATGTGGACATTTAGGAGTTAGCTGTGTATTCTGGTCTTCAGTGTCTGGACTTATTTGTAGCTGTCTCTCTTGGGGAGGCTTTCCAGATGTTTGAAATGATTTGCATGTTGTGATCCAAGCTGTATGTGTTTGAGGGAGCACCTCAAGTCCAGTAATGATGTGGTTCTTGCAGACTTGTAAAGGTACCACTTTGATCGTCTTAGACCAGACTCAGGAGAATTCTCTGGATTACCAGGCAGAGTCTTGTTCTCTTCCCTTACTTTCTCCCAAACATACAAAGTCTCTTTCTCTGTTCTTAGCACCTCAAGCTGGGGGTGGAGTGATACAAGCACCCCTGTTGCCACCACCACTATGACTGTGTTAGGTCAAACCTAAAGCCAGGACAATGCTGGGTCTTGGACAAGGCCTGCTGTAGCCACTCCCTGGCTTCTGCCTTGGTTCATTCAAGGCCCTAACCCTCTACAATCAGCAAGTGGCAAAGCCAGCTGGGCCTGCATCTTTCCCTTCAGGGCAGCAAGGCCTCCAGGCCCCAGGTGGGTCCAGAAGTGCCTTGCAGTACTCAGGGACTGGAGCCAAAAACCTTAGAAGTCTACCTGGTGTTCTGTTGTGTTGCAGCTGAGCTATCACTCATACCATAAGACACAGTCTTTCCTACCCTTCCCTCCCCTTATCCAATGGCAGGATAGCCTCACCCTTACCCACACCACCCCAGGCTATGAGGAGTACTGCCAGACTATTGTCATTGCTCTCCTAAGGTCCAAGTTCTCTTAAGTCAGCTTGTGGTGAATGCTGCCTGGCCTGGGACTCAACCTTCAGGGTAGTGGACTCCCCTCTGGCCCAGGGCAGGTCCAGAAATGCTGTCCAAGTGTCAGGTCCTGGAATAGGGGACCCCAAGAGCCCACTTGGTGCTCTGCTCTCCTGTGGCTATGCTGTTACCTGACGCCAGCAAGATTCAAAGGATAACCCAAGGTCCTCAGTGTAGTACCTGGGTATCAATGCTGGTTAGTCAGGGCCCAAAGGGTCTTCAGTTAGCAAGTGATGAATGCTGCCAGGACTGGGTCTTTTCCTTCAAGGCGAGGTATTCCCTTCTGTCCCAGGATGTGTCTACATATGTTGTCTGGGAACTAGTGCTTGAAATGGGGGCCTCATAACTCTGACCAGTGGCCTATCCTGCTGTGGCTGGGCTGGTATTCATAATGCAAGACCAAGCCCTCCCACCTCCTTCCTCTCCTCTCCTCAAGCAGAAGGAAGGGGTCTCTTTTGGAGCCACAAGCTGTGCAGCCTGGGATTGGGTGGAGGGGTGGTGATGCTAACACTCCACTGACTGTCCCAGCTGCTGTCTCAGTATGTCACATACCCTCTCTCAGTCCACTGTCTCTGGGCCTAAATCCGCCCTAGGACTCACAAAATAGTTGCAGTCCTTATGGCCTAGACTGCCTTTCAAGTTTACTTGGAGACTCAGAGTACTGTAGCCCTTGAGAGCAAGGTTCATGGGAACTCAAGTTTGGACTGCTGGGATCCGTGATTCCCCTCTGGCTAGGGCTGGTTTAAATGCTTTCTCTGTGGGCAAGTATCAGCTGAGTTTGGTCTGGTTTTCCTTTCTATTCTAACAGGACAGCACTGAATTCGGTGCCTCAAAATTGCTGTGTTCTCCCTTCCCCAGCAACCAGAGATGCTCTCAGCACTACTCTAAGACAGCTAGGGATGGGGAGGGGGTGGCGCTAGCAATTCAAACTCTTTTTTCCATCTCTTCAGTGCCTCTTTCAGCAATATGAAGGTAAAAACAGGTACTACGAATGCTCACTTGATATTTAGTTCTTATGAAAGTATATTTTTCTGTGTAGATAGTTGTTAACTTGGTGTCCTTGTGAGGGGAGCAATCAGTGGAGCTCTCTATTCTGCCATCTTGCTCTTGCTCCACCTCCCTCAATCATTCTCTCTCTTTTTTTTTTTTTTCGACAGCGTCTTGCTCTGTCACCCAGGCTGGAGTGCAGTGGTGAGATCCCAGCTCACTGCAACCTCCGCCTCCCAAGTTCAAGCAATTCTCCTGCCTCAGCCTCCCTAGTAGCTGGGATTACAGATGTGTGCCACCATGCCCAGATAATTTTTTTGTATTTTTAGTAGAGATGGGGTTTCACTATGCTGACCAGGCTGGTCTCGACCTACTGACCTCGTAATCCACCCACCTTGGCCTCCCAAAGTGCTGGGATTGCAAGTGTGAGCCACTGTGCTCAGCTTCCAATCATTTGTTTTAATTCATGTTTCTTGAGTAGTTATTTTCTGCCATGCACTATACTAAATATTTTACAAGCTTTTCAATCCAAGAGGTGGCTATTTTTACACACGAAGAAAGTGAATCTCAGAAAGATTAAGCAATGTTCCTAAAGTCACACAGAGGGCAATGGTAGAGCTAAATATTTGATCCAAGTCTCTTTGACCCCTGAAATTATAACAGTTACTCTGTATTGCCCCTGTTACCTTTATCTTTCTATGAAATCATAATATTATAATTGACAAAAAGATCCTCTTTATATTGGAAGATACATAATGTGTGAATGATTAGCTTTATTAGTTATAGCTCCTATGTTAAAGAAAACAAAATCTATAAATTTAAATTCAAGCCACATATATTGTAGGCAAGAAGTTTTGCTGATATATTTATTCAACTTAGGATATTACTGTTCCACGTCTACTATATCTATAGGCTAGATGGGCTGCTAAGGTTTGCAACATAAATTGTTGACATTCATGTAAAATTATGTGCTTGTAGAAATATGAGGCAATGGATGCCATTATTGGGCCCTCTGCCCACCATCCTGTACTAACTTATTTAAAAATTGTATTTTTCTCTTTCCCGCCCTCTTCCCTCTCACTTCCTTTTAATAACAGTAAGAGTTTCCTTTCTGGTTACCTAAATAACACATGTTCATCCTAGAAAATTTGGAATGTAAATAATTTTAAAATGTTAACTGTTAGAAAAAAATATCCTATAATTATACCTTTAGAAATACTCATCACTAACAGGTTAGGCAGAATTTCCTTCTATATTCTTTGAATAAATGTTTTTTTATTTTCACAGAAAATTGTGATTATATGTCCATTTAATAATTTGCTTTATTCACTTATTATGTGGTGAATATTTATTCCTTTTTGTGCAGTTTTATCTTGAAGGCTACATAATCTACCATATTTGTGTATAATTCTGTATTTGGCCAAAAATCTGCTTTGTAATATTTAAGTGTGTTCCAACTTTTTACTATTTTAATGTTCTCATTGATACCTTCTTGTTGATTTTCCATTTTTTGATTATAATTTTTAGTATTGACTAGATTTTTCAAAACTGGTATAATTTTCATAAGGAAAATAAAGTGCTATTTTTAAGAAGAGAGAAAAAATCTATAATAATAACTAGACCCATATTCCTGGGTCAATGTGTATGAACATTTTAAGGCTTTGGAAACACAGACATCTCTATATAACACCGCATTGTGATAATGATAGTAACCTGACTTCTGACCCAGCTGGGGAATGGGACATGCTTGTTCATCAAACCAGAGTCGCAATATGGAGAGAACTTTTCACTAGTGTGGATATAGTGGACTGATATCCAGATTTCTAGTTCCCTCCTGCAAAATCATCTGATTTCATTGGCCACTGTGGCCTCATTTGTAAAATAGTTATAATAGCTTATTTGCCTCCAGGATACCTAGCTACCTAGGGCACCTAGGTCCCATCAGATGAGGAAGTGTAAAAAATAAATAAATACATTTCTAAATAATCTGTTTGGTGTATGCTTACGAGGTGATGGGGAGGGGGTGACAAATACACTGAGACATAGGGGACAACTTAAAGACTTAGAGTTACCCAGATAAAGTAGAGTGTGAAGAAGAGCAGAGGGAAGGGGATTCCAGGTAGAGGGAACAGCATATGTGATGAATGAAAGTAAAGGAAGAAAGGTAAGTAAAAGATTTTGAGAAAGGCTGGAACATGGGCTATGAGCTGGAGAACTATGAGAAATGAGAGAGGTTAGAGAGGGAAGAAGAGTCTTTTGTTAGTAATTTTTAAGAGCCTGGACTTTATCTTTAGGGGAAGGGATGTCACTGATAATTTTAATCAGAGAGTACATGATCAAATTTGCATTTACTTGTCTTTTTGATAACCTAGAAATCAATTTAGAATTTTTGAGTTCTTAGGTCTTGACTACAAATAAATAGCATTTATTATTGCAATGAAAATTTTCTGAACTGTTGGTTACAAAGTGTCAGTTGATAGAATAATAAATGTAAGCCATATAATATTAACATTTTCTCAGTTCATGAGCTGAATTTAGCCCTGATATTTACATCAGAGTGATACCTGGGTGCACATTTTGTCTAAATCCACAATACATTATTTTAATATTTAGAAATCCTTCCATGGTGCTTTTTCTTTGAAAATATTACACTAAAATTCGAATACATAGGAAAAGATAATGAGACATTTCGGTAATATTTTCATCATGATAAATAAATATTAAACATTGAGACAGAGATTTAGCATGTTTTAAGGAAATCTATAACATTTTCTAAGAAGTTTAACTCTTTTTTGTAAAGGATTGACAGATGAATGATATTTTCACAGAAACATAGGAAGATAATTACTTTATAAATTATTTTTCAATATTGAATATTAACAGAGAATCATCCTGCAGGGTTCTTCCAATAGGAAAGAACCTGTAAATAAATTAATAATGTATTTTTAGGGACAATTTTAATAAAGTTGAATGAATGTTTATTTGGTAAGTAATCAAGAATTGATGAGAAGAGGGTAATTCATAAAAATAATAAGCATAATTCTGTTTTATATTTCTTTTTCTTTTATTTTTATTTTTATTTTTTGGAGACAGGGTATCACTCCATTGCCCAGGCTGGAGTGCAGTGACAGGATCACAGCTCACTGTAGTCTCAACCTCCCCAGCCCAAAGGATCCTCCCACCTAAGTCTCTTGGGTAGCTGGGACTACAGGCAAGCACCACCTTGCCCGACTATTTTTTTTTTTTTTTTGTATTTTTAGTAGAGACAGGGTTTTGCCATATTGCCCAGGCTTGTCTCAAACTCCTGGGCTCAAGCAGGCCGCCCACCTCAGTCTCCCAGAGTGCTGGGATTACAGGCATGAGCCATCACACCTAGCCATAATTCTCCTTTCGTATGGCCAGAGGTCAAAAAAACTACTGCCAAAGAATTACTGGAATTACTGTATAAATTAGTAAAAGTGATTTTGTTTAACACCTTGGATGTTTATCTGTAGATATATACATGTTTCTCAATGTATATATCTATAGATAAAGAAATATTGGATTTTTTTCTGGAGTGCTTCTTAACACATAATACCTGTTACAGCTTATATCTGTGAATTTTTTTGGTATCTACTGTGCATCATCCCTCCAAATTGCTCACACATTGAAGAGCATACAGATTGGTATGCATCCCTGTGAGCACACCATCAAAGCCCTTGGCACATAATGTAATATGATTCTGCTGTGTAAACACATGATCTCCTCATCCCCATAAAGTACGAGGTGAATCTCAAAGATTATATTGAACAAAAACAGCCAGACACAAAATGGAGCATACATTAATATTCCTTTCATATGAAGTACAAAAACAGGCAAAGCCAGTCTAAGTTTATGGCAGTCAGCGGTGTGGTGACTCTCGGGGAACAGCAGTTTCTGGGGAGCCCATGGGGAGGACTCTGAGGTACTGGAAATAATAACTCATCTTCATCTGGGTGCTGTCACTCAATTCTGGGCCCTACACTCATCTAGTTTGTGCTTATACATTGAGCCCTTTTCCAGACATATGTTTCAATAAAAAGTTTTAAACTGTTTTATTTCAATAAAAGTTAAAAAGCATGCACCTTTTTATAATTCATTGACATATTGCTAAATTAGACTCTGGAGAGCATGTGCATGACTCCCAGAATTTTAGAGTACCTTCTCACTATCTTGTTGAGATCTCTTAAAGATGCTGCTATTTACCTAATTTGATTGTCCTTTGCACTGATAACTCATAAATCTATCCATTTGACTTGGAAATGAGTTTATTTCCCTCAAAAATGGAGGGAGCTCACAGTATAAATTGTGCTAGCCGAATTCCAAAACACTCTTATATGTTGATATGATAAAAAGCAAGAATCAGACTAATTCATTCAAAACCTTGTTAGGATTCTGCCCTTGGACTGCTGATACCTGCTATGAGGCAGACCAAGTATCTTGTGAGCAGGGTTGCAAACTCAGACACCCACTGGGGCTTGTTATATTACAAAGTAAGGAGAATCTGGTGTGATGCAAAGGATGGAGACTGAGAGAAACTGCAGAAACCACATTCTTCTGAAAGGCATTCAGGCTCACATTGTTAAAGCAGTGTGCTAACCAATTGAAGTAAGTTGTTGATTAAATGCACCCTGTGGTCCAGTAATTTGTCCTATACATTGTATTCTTCTCTGTATAACTATTCTGTGTATAACTCTGCTCTATATAACTTGTTGCACATGGCCTAGTTCTTCAAAGTATTCTGGAAAGTTTTATTGAACATTTCATATGAATACTTGTTCTATAAATGCTACCAGTTCAGTATCTACTTAAATCTTACAGTAATTATGCATTGAATATAAAACCGTGTTATCCGGAATTAAGAAAATTGATTAATATCCACCTTAGGAAGTTATCAATCTTAGATGTTTATTTTCAAATGAATCTAAGGATGTAAGTGGTATATCTGTCTGTGTGGTTTGCATCTCTTCTTTAAAGAACAAACAGTTTTAGAGAAATAAGTATAAAGACTGTGCAGGAGAAATGTAGAAACTGCTTTATATTCTTGGGCACTTTACCTGCTTTTTGTCGAATACTAATTGTTGTGATGAAACAAAAGGTGTATTTAACATGTTATTTATTGTTATGGAGGCTACTGTTTGGCAGAGCATTCTTGCCAGTTATGTAAAAGGAAGGCATAAACATTAATTTGACCTGTTATAAGTTGTATACTTTTAATAGAAAACATCATCATACATGCATACATGTCTTTAAAGCATTAATTGCTATCTCTTGCAATGATATTTTTCTTGCTTCATTCTTTCTTGTCTTTCTTGTCATGGCAGAAAATATTCTACCATGCTTCCCCTGACCTCACTCAGAGTATTAAAATAGATTGTAATAATGATGATAAGAGTGGTTAGCATATATTGAACAATAATTTGCAAATGATTGTTCTAAGCACTTCATATATATCCTCTTGTTTGAATTATCACAGGCACTGAAATAAAACAGGCATTTTAATCTAAGTTTCATAGAAAAGGAAACAGAGTTAGAGGAATTAATAAAATACTAGTGTCACAGAGCTGGAAATGCCAGGTCCAGATTTATTTCCAAGCCTGGTTCCAAATGTTATCCCATCTCTTTTTCAAAATGATAATTCTGTGTTTTTGGAGACACAATTGTAAATCCAGGAGAACTTCCCTGTTCTATTACAAATCTTGCTTTGTTTCCTGAACTGTGAAAATTGACTTAAACTCACAAGTCTTCTATCTTGTAATGAATTATAAAAGCAATTTGTCTTAACAATACCATGCATAACCTATTCTTACTTCTGCTTTACCATAGTATGAAATTTTCACCTACTTACATTAGGTGAATGGGAGAGTAGTTTAATAGTAATTTAATTGGCTTTTATCATGTTTGAGCTTTAAATTACACTTCCCAGGGCGCTTGAACATAAGTACTCACATCAGAACATCCTTTCCTGATCCTTAATTCAATATTTCTCTTTCTTTCTTAAATCAATGTTTTTAAACCAAGTTTCATGACCCTGTCAGTCAAATGGTCATGATAGCATGTTATCAAGCTATCCAATTCCATGTTATCCTGACAGCAACTCTATATGCTAGGCATCATTATTTCCATTTTAAAGACAAGCAAACTGACCTCTTTGGGTTACAAGACTAGAAAATGGTCAACTCTGGTGTTTGTCCCCAAGTCTAAGTGACTGGGTAGCTACCCAAGGCATGTTCTTTCCTCTCTACTGAAGTGATACCAGAGAAAAGTGGGCTAACACTCACAACATTTTTTTCTGTCCTGTGTTCATCTGCTACATTATTTAAGGCTGTGATGAAAAAATAATCTAAAATTCAAAGAAATGTACTGTATTAGTAAAAGAAAAGTTGCTCTGAAACCTCATAGATATCCTGGCTGTGGCCATGTACTCATACAGTTCCATACTGACTGGAATAAATCCTTAACCTTCAGTGAGTTTTAGTTTGGTGTTGGGTAGAGTTGCCATTGCTAACCTCTAGCTAACTCTCTGTTTCAATTAGGGTGAATCACTTAGTTTCTCGGAGGCTTTTATACCACATTACAAATTCCAGATTTTATCAAGGGCTGCTTAACATTAGCCCTCAGGACAGACCAATTCATATAACTATTTTATTTGACTAACACAATACTTTTAAAATTAGGACATTTCGTTTTAAAATTTAGACTTCCTAATTATCTTTTTAAAAATCTAAAGAGCATGAACACTGGGCCTTCTTTCCCACAGGTAACAATAAGCTAAAGCTGGGAAATTGATACCTTATCTAGATGGAGGGTTTTCTGTAGTTCACCACATTCCCCACCATTCCCTTTTGTCTTATGTTGAACCTACTCCTCATACTACAGAGGTCATAAGCCTGCCCTCTATGCGTCTGAGTTTGTGGCTCCTTGATTAGACTTAAATCCCTTATAATTTTAGCATTCTGTGTGTATTATGTCATAATTATGCTCTGAAGTTTTCAATGGATAAAATACAAACTAGTAAGCCTGGAATTTAAAGTCAACTATTGTTTACTTTCATCCATCCTTCACCAGGTTTAAATCTCAACACATTTGCTTACCAGTCAAGTTGACCTATTCATCTTACCAATATGTCCTGGTTCTGGTCATGTGCTCACACTACTCCATGCTGACTGGTTATCCCTCCAGGCTAAACACTGTATCTAGCAAAATCTGGTATATCTTTCATCACCTAACTTGTAGCTCATTAGCTCATTTTCTCTGCAATGGCTGCCTCAGCTTCCAATCATTTTCCTTATTTCAGGATTTCTTTTTTTTTCTTTTTCTTTTTTTTTTTTTGAGACGGATTCTTGCTCTATCGCCCAGGCTGGAGTGCAGTGGTGCGATCTCAGCTCACTGCAACTTCTGCCCCCTTGTTCAAGCGATTCTCCTGCTTCAGCCTCCTAAGTAGATGGGATTACAGGTGTGCATCACCATGCCCAGCTAATTTTTGTATTTTTAGTAGAGATGGGGTTTCACCATGTTGGCCAGACTGGTTTCGAACTCTTGACCTCAGGTGATCTGCCTGCCTCAGCCTCCCAAAGTGCTGGGATTACAGGAGTGAGCCACCATGCCTGGCCAATTTCAGGTCTTATAACATACATTATTGGTACTTACCGTGTGATGCCTAATAATAATAAACATAAATAAAAATAAATATAATTATTTTACATTTATAGATAAAATTTGTGGAAATGCTTTTTCCATGCCAAACAGTTTCTATGCATTGTTTTAGTCTTTATATCCATGTTCAGAGGTAGATGCCCTAATTGTTTTTGTGCTTTCATTATTATTGAGTCTCAAGTAGGTTAAATAATGTATCCAAGGTTGCAGAGGCGATAGCTTCCTAGATTAGTTTATCCTGTATCTGAGCTTTGATTTTAAGGTCCTTAAGGTCAAAGACCACATCATAACAATTTTATACAATGCCTTCTACAGGGTTTAGCAAGCACCATGCTGAATGAAGGCTATCTATGAATAGATTAATATTCATTTATTGTCATTCAGGTGTATTAGAACTCAGTAGTTTAATGACTTTTTGAAATTTATTGACGACACTATAATAAACTTGCACATTTTAGGTTTTAAGTTTATACATTATCCTATTCAAAATCCTTATACTTGCCTTAACTCCCTGATGGTGGAGAATAAAACAGTGGTTACCCAGGGTGTGGGGGATGAAATGAGGAGATATAGGTCAAAGGATACAAAGTAGCAAATATGCAGGATGAACCAGTCTGGAAAGCTAATGTTCTGCATGAAGACTATAGAAATAAAATTGTGTTAGTAATTTTTGTCAAGTGGATTTCAGCTGCTCTTGTCACACACACACACACACACACACACACACACACACGTAACTCTCTGAGATGATAGATATGTTAATTTGCTTCACTGTAGTAACCATTTTACTGTCTATATGTATCCTGTCTAATTCTGTTGTAAACCTCAAAGTTGCAACTACAAAAAACAAAACAAAACAAAGGATTTAGGAGCCACTAGCCTAATGCATTGTGTTTCTCTCAAGAGATGGCATACATTTGGTAATTATTAGACGATCTTTTTTTCCTCTCAGGAAAACAGAGTCTAATATGCTTTTGAATGGGGCAGGGGGAGAGGGGATGAAGTGGGAAAAGCAAGGAGACTATTGAGAAAGTAAATGTAAAATCAGTTGTGTCACAGCAGTACAATGCATCTTAATCACTTAAAAATAATTGCTCTAGAAATAATGACTCATTAGCAATGTTGTAGTGTTACACCACCTCAAATGCCTTAACTACTGTGAACACTGGGCATGAAAATTGTAACCAACTTATAATGTTGCATCCCAGTGCTCTGAGAATACTCCTAAACCATTTTGTTAATAATTACCTGACAGAAATATATCTTTACCTAGCCCTTGTTGTCATTAAACATGCTTTGAAATACTTTAATATTTCTAGGCTGTATTAGCACTCTTTAGTTATGTAATTACATTTAGCAGTCCCTACAGTTTTTGTCTGTTGTTTTAAGCTAAAATTCATTACAACCCAAATTAACAAAGTTGTGCTGAGGCTGCAAAGGATTTAGGCATTTGCTTCAGTTCCTAGGAATTAAAGATAGAGGCTGCTTTGGTGAACTTGAACGTACAGAACCCCACTGAGACCATTATGAGTCATTGGTAGGCCCTGCCTCCATCACCTTGACAGGTGAACCTATTCTTTACCCATCATCTCCAGAAAGGAAAATCTACCATCTACTCAGTAGAGTTATTTCATTATTTTACAGCCCTCACTATCCGCCAAGTAATCTTTCTATTTAACCCAAATCCTCCAAGTCATTTATGTTATAATTTATGGTCAAAGCTTCCTGTTTGGTCCATTGCAGAAAATGTGAACAGCTGATCATCACTCCCTAAAGCCCTCTATATAAATGGAGACTGTTATTACATCTGTTAGTCTTCTTCTTCTCCAGTTAGACAGAGTTCATTCAGCTATTAGTCAAACAACTAATTTTCAGATTTTAATATCCAGTATCATTTCACTGAAATATGAAGCCCTTTGCCATAGGTTTTGCTCTTTATTTTTTAAGAGAAAGAGAAACAGAAGACATAGATAGGAAAAAGTCAGAGACCAGGATGGGGAATTATTGGGAAATAGTCACAACACAGCTGTTCTTTATCTTGGTTGACCATTCTCTCATTCTTTCAACCCTATTCCCATCTTCCAGCTTGTATGAAATGAAATTGTTCATATGACAATGGTGTCATACACATCTTCTTTTCTAATAGCTCCTGTTATCAATTTTCTTTTTTTTCATCCAGAGATCAAGTGTGATCGCTTTAATCCTTGCCTTTTTGCCAATGTGCTATAATATTGTTAGTGCTTCTTATTGTAAATTGTGTGTAATTTCCAACATGAGTATTTATACCCTTTTCTTCTGAGTCTTTTTTGTTTATTTGAAATCCTTCTTTAAAATGAGACCCAGTTTCTTTTTATTATGATTCATTTCATTCTGCTTTAATTCTTTATTTAGTCAACTGAGCTTCTTACTAAATATGCCATCATTTGGGTACAAGGGGATGTTTTTCTTCATTTCATCTTGTGTTTTTAAACAACCCTGCATTACAGATGTGTGTTTTGAGAGGGAATTTTCAGTCAAGTACATTTTTTTTCCTGATTTGTCTTCTAGATGATTTTTGTTTTAATCTGTCTTCAATTATAAAAGGTTCTCTCAGTTCCAGTTTTGGTTGCCCTGATTTGCATGTACCACCCTCCCCCAGTCGACCCTTTAGAACTCCTCTAAGTAATTAAAAGCTTCTGAAGGAATGAAATGATTTCCACAAGTTAGAAGAAAATTATACTTATTGCTTTTTGGGGAGAGTCTTAGGGTTCTGCTTCCACTCAGTTCTGAATAAATTTTTGTCCAAAGTTCAAAAGGACCTTTTGCATATTAGCAGCTCCTCTACATAGCAAGAGGTAAAATCAAGACCCAAGTCCAGCACTGCTTGATTTCTATAATCCCATTCTTGCCCTCGGTGCCTGTGTGCATGACAAACTTACGTTCCTTTACCTAACACTGTGCTCCCACTCCTCACTGTTATGAGTCATGTAGTGATGCAGATCCTTGTGTACGCTTCTTTATCTTTTCTAATTGCTTCCATTGGATGAAATACTGTAAGTAATACTACTGGGTCAACATGTGAGAGATCCTTGATATCCAAGTTACCCTTTATGAAGATTGAGCCAATTTATATTCTACAAGCAATTATGAGAAATTCGGTTTATTCACATCCTCATCACATATTATATTTGAAAAAACAAAAGACAATTTGCTAGGAGAAAGATGGTACCCCATTATTTCTATGAAAAATGTAAGCTATGTCCTCATGCACACCATATGTCAATATTAACTTCTGATAGATTTAATAATTAACTATAAATATTGAGACCATAAGACAGATAGAAATATGAGGCATACCTCAGAGATATTGCAGGTTTTTTTCCTAGACCACTGCAATAAAGCAAATATCACAATAAAGTGAATCACAACTTTTTGTTTCCCAATGCACAAAAAGTTATGCTTACACTATACTGTAGTGTATTCTGTGCAGTAACATTATATTTAATAAAAATAATGTACATTCCTTATTTAAAATACTTCATTGCTAAAAATGTACTAATGATCATCTGAGACTTCAGTGAGTCATAATCTTTTTGGAGGTGGGGAGCCTTGCCTTGATGTTTATGTTCACCAACCTGCTGAATGATCAGGATGGTGATTGCTGATTTGGGGTGTCTGGAACAATTTATTAAAATAAGACAACAATGAAGTTTGTCATATTTATTGAGTCTTCATTTCACAAAAGATTTCTCTGTGGCATGCTTTGCTGCTTGATAGCATTTTACCCATAGAACTTCTTTCAAAATTGGAGTCAATCCTTCAAACCATGCTGCTGTTTTATCAAATAAGTTCATGTAATATTGTAAGTTCTTCATTGTTATTTCAATGATATTCATAGCATTTTCACCTGGAATAGGTTTTATCTCAAGAAGTCACTTTCTTCGTCCATCCATAAGAAAAAAATTCTCAATCCTTAAAGTTTCATCATGAGGTTGCATAAATTCAGTCACATCTTCAAGATCCACTTCTAATACTAGCTCTCTTACTATTTCTACTATATCTGTAGTGACTTCCTCAACTGTAGTCATAAACTCCTTAAAGTCATCAGTGAGAGTAGAATCAACTTATTCTAAACTCTTATTAATGTTGGTATTTTGAACTCCTCCCATGAATCATTATTGGTCTTAATGGCATCAAGAATGGTGAATTCTTTCCAGGTTTTCAATTTACTTTGCCTGGATCCATCAAAGGAATCACTATACATGACAGCAATAACCTTATGAAATGTATTTCTTAAATAATGAGACTTGGAAGTCAAAATTACTCCTTGATCCATAGACAGCAGAATGGATGTCATGGTAGCAGGCCTAAAAATATTAATTTCCTTGTATATCTCCATAAGAGCTCTTGGGTGACCAGGTGCATTGTCAATGAAGGGTAACATTTTGAAAGGAACCTATGTTTTCTGAGTAGTAGGTCTCAACAGTAGGCTTAAAATAGTTAGTAAATCATGCTGTAAACAGATGTGCTATTATCCTGGCTTTGTCTTTCCATTTACAGAGCACAGGCAAAGCAGATTTAGCATAACTTTTAAGGGCCTTATGATTTTGGGAATGGTAAGTGAGCCCTACATTCAACTTAAAGTCACCACCTGCATTAACAAGAGTCACCTGCCCTTAACAAGAAGGTCAGCCTGTCCTTTCAAGCTTTGAATCGAGGAATTGACTTCTCCTCTCTAGCTATGAAAGTCCTAGATAGCATCTTCTTCCAGTGGAAGGCTGTTTTGTCTACACTTAAACTCCGTTGTGTGGAGTAGCCACCTTCATTGATTACCTTAGCTACATCTTCTGGATAATTTTCTACAGCTTTTCTCCATCAGCATTTGAACTTCACCTTGCACTTTTATGTTATGGAGATGCCTTCTTTCCTTAAACTTCATGAACCAACCTCTGCTAGCTTCCAACTTGCCTTCTGCAGCTTCCTCACCTCTCATAGCCTTCATGGAATTAAAGAGATTTAGAGCTTTTCTCTGGATTAGGCTTCAGCTTAAGGGAATTTAAGCTGATTCCCTTAATGTGGATGATTTGATCTTCCATCCAGAGCACTAAAACTTTCTCCACATCAGCGATAATGTTGTTATGCTTTCTTATCATTCATGTGTTCACTGGCATAGAACTTTAAATTTCCTTCAGGAACTTTTGTTTTGCGTTCATAACATGGCTTTGTGGCACAAGAGGCCTAGTTTTCAGCCTTTCTTACTAAGAGTAATCATTTCTAGCTTTTACTTTAAAGTACACATGGAAATCTTTCTTTCACTAGAACACCTAGAGGCCATTGTAGAATTATTAATTGACCTAATTTCAATATTGTTGTGTCTCAGGGAATAGGAAGGCCTGAGGAGAGAGAGAGAGATAGGTATGGCTGGTCATAAAACAAACATTCTATTAAGTTCACTGTCTTATATGGACATGCTTCGTGGCTCCCCAAAACAATTACAATAGTAATGTCAAAAAGCACTGATCACAGATGACTGTGACAGACATAATAAAAATTGAAAAGTTTGAAATATTGTAAGAATTACCAAAATTTGACACAGAGACAGGAAGTGAGCACATGATTTGGAAGAAAATGGGAACAAATAGACTTGCTTGACACATGGTTACCACAAAATTTCAATTTGTAAAGAACACAATGTCTGCAAGGTGCAATAAAGCAAAGCACAATAAAAGGAGGTATGCCTATCTCGAAATCTTTCTTCTCTCAAGATGAAGAGGGATTTTTCCCAACACAAAACAGTTTAAGAAATAACAATGTAAATGATTGATAACTTTTATCACAACAAAATATCAAAAACTAGAATGCATCACTAAGCAAAAGAGAAACACCCCTCAGACACACACACACAAAAACAACCTGCAAATACATGAATAAATAATTTACAATTAAAAAACTGAATTGAAACTGTTAAATATAGAAAAAACTTCCTGGTAATCATAGCTTTTCAAAGATGGAATAGTTCCCTTTCAGAGAGAATGAGTTCCAAAGCACTAAAGAGATTCATTAGAACAATAATTATAGAGATCTTATGGATGGAATTCAATCATTAGAAAGATATTTGTATAGACATCATTTTATCATCTTTTCTACTTTGAAAACCTGTAATTAAATGATGATATTTCCACCAACATTTAAATGGCACATGCAGTTTATGGAAGCGCCTACATTTGATATAGTTATGCTGATCATTTACAACCCATGGAATGTTAGTATCCCATGCATATTCCATATCTCATGTAGAGAACATAAGCTAATGCAAATAGAGTAAGTTATTGACAAGGAATGCCCTTAGTGCAAACTTAGGGAAAATTCTCTTAATAACATTTTTTAGAGGGAAAAATGCATATTCACCATAGAAACAGTGAAACTGTAGAAAATATAAGAAAACAAAAATCAACTATATTTGCACTGCCTATTTTAGTATAATTTTAGTCATTTGTACACTTAATAAACCTTTTTAAATAAATGTGAAATCATACTATACAACTTGATTTCCTGTATGCTATTTTAACTTTCACTTATTAATAAAACTTTCCTATGTCCTCACTCTTCTTAAAGTGTTTTTTATTATATCATGTGACTGGATCAAAATTCATTTAAACATCCTTACATATTAGCTATATATACATTTACATCTATATAGTATGTATATGGAATGAATCAAAATTCATTTAAATCTACTTATATATTAGCTATATATACATATATACCTATATAGTACTTACCTAGAATATTTCTGAGATTTTTTGCCCAACTATAAATAAAGTTGTGTTTAACATCCTGGCATACAGTTTTGTATAAATTCACATTAATTTATTAGAGTAGAATTTTTAGGAACACATGTTTGCACATTTGGTGGATTTTGATAAATATTGTCTAATTACCCTCCAGAAAGTTTGTGCCAATTTACAGTCCTCCTGCCAGTATGTGCAAGAGGATCTATTTCCCTCCAGAATTTGTAGTACCAGATATTATAATTCCTTTAATTTTTGCTGATTAGATAAGCAATAATTGTCATGGCTTAAGTTTTATTTCTAATACATATTTGTGGTTTCTAATGCTGCTAAGAATTTTTCCACATATTTACTGCCTATTTTATATAAAAGAAATATTTATTTTATTTTATGTTATAGAAAATTTCAGCTCATCATAGCTCACCTAAGAAGCCTTCTCCACCACCCAGTTAAAACAGGCTTTCCTCCCTGACCATTGGTCACTGACTCGTTTTGTTTTCTTCATGATATTTGTCACCATCTGAAAATATCCTGTGGATGTATTTGTTTAATTGCTATTTTCTGGGCCCCATAGTGGATTGAGGGGTCTGTCTGATGTTGGGTTCTCCTGAAGCCGACACCAAAGGACCCTCTAACAAGCTCTCACACATATTTTCCATGCAGTTGCAACCATGTACTGCAGTGAAAATATGTGTGGGGGCATGTTAGAGATTGAGTCATTGAGTCAGCCACAGAATATGTTGCCCACTGAACTTTCAGCAAGTGCCTTACCATGAGAGAGAGAAAAAAAGTAATTGCACATATTTTTTCCTCCATCTACTGATGCTGCGTGTCCCAGGAAGGTGTGTAAACATGTGGCGGTGGGAAAGAGAGGATATAAAAGTCATTTCAGTTATCTGGGGGTCGCTCTAATGGCAACACTCCTGCCAGATCTCCCCTGCTGGGTTGCTGAGGCTCCATGGAGCTTGCATCATGTAGCACAGTTTGCCGTCTTTGTTCAACCCCACAGCTTCCTTTCTTTCACAGGTGGTGGTCCTTAATAAATGTCCTTCAGGGTCTGCTTCTGGAAAACCCAACACTAGACAGAGCTGAATGCACTAAAGTGCCTAGAAAATAGCAATTAAGCAAATACACACACAGGACAGTTTCAGATGGTGACAAATATCATGAAGAAAATAAAACTGGGGATGAGGCAGTGGCCAATGGTGAGGGAAGGAGGGCTGCTTTAGTTGGGTGGTGGGAGAAGGCTCCTTAGGTGGGTTATGATGAGCTGACATCAAAATGATAGAAAGGAGGAAGTTCATTTAAGGTGGTAGGAACTTTCATTCCCTTAACCCCAAAATCCCAACACAAAGGACCCAGGAATGGAAGAGTTCTAATTTTTTGATGGACAGCCTAGCTAGAAGAACCTCAGATTTTAAGTACACTTCTGCAATGTATTCTATCAGTCAGAGACCTGACAGGCAGCAGATGGCACACTGAAAATGGGGTAATTTGAGGAGAGTGCAATGAAAAGACTATTTACAAAAAGAAGAGCAGCACTCCCTCCCTCCCAGAGATAGAATCCCCAGGTTGCCACCCGCTCTGCAGCCTTCCATTTCTGAAGGAGAAAAGGAGGGGACAGACAAGGGAACCTGGCCACAGGTCTTACAGAAGCAAGACAGGGCAACCTGGCCACACGTTTTGCAGAGGGAGACAATTTCCCTGGTCTCCCGCTCCTCCAAGCCCAGACTCCTGCTCTACTCCCCATTGGCCACATCTGCCCTGAAGCCCAGGGAGCCTGTTTCGGAAGTCCAAACTGTCTACTCTTTAGGGATACACAACTTGGTGGTTAAAGGTAGATTGTGGAACTGAAAAGGAAGGGAAGACACCCAACATGTGTAGCTCACATTTTAAAATAATATTTGCAAGGGTGAAAAATAATATTTGGAATAAGTGAAAAGAGACCCAGCTGAGGCTGTCACTTGGTCTGTCACTGGCTAGTTGTACATCAACATCTTCAAGCCACATTTTTTTTTTGCATTTGTTAAAAAAATTAAAAGACTGGGATAAAACTGATAAACTTGTTCTGAAATGGTATGACTCTGATGTGTCACAAATCAAAATAAAATATTAGAGAGATATTTTAATGAATGCAATAAAAAGTATCTGGCATATTGAGGCATTTGTTTTACATTGAGAAAAAAATTAATCACTTTTGAAACAGAGAGTGGCTTTCTAGTCTGTAAGAGACTCTGGTTCAACTATATTTCTTATCATGATCATTTTAAATTTTTATTTATTTTTATTTTTATAGATTCAGAGGTTACATGATCAGGTTTCTTATGTGGATATATTGCATAATGGTGAGGCTTGGGCTTCTAGGGTACCCATTACCCAAATAGTGAACGCTGAACTTTGTAGGTAATTTGTCAACCCTCACTGCCCTCCTACCTCCCTGCCTTTTGCAGTCCCCAGTGTGTGTTGCTTTCCTTTGTAGGTACATGTGTACACATTTTTTAGCTCCCACTTACAAGTGAGGAACATGCCGTATTTACCTTTCTGTTTCTGAATTATTTCACTCAGGATAATGGCCTTCAGCCCCATCTGTGTTGCTGCAAAGACAAGATTTCATTCTTTTTCATTAATGCATAGCATTCTACAGTGTATATATACCACATTTTCCTTATCCAGTCATTTGTTGATGGACACGTAGGTTGATTCCATGACTTTGCTATTGTGAATAGTGCTGAGATAAACATATAAGAGCAGTTATCCTTTTGGCGTAGCGGTTTATTTTCCTTTGGTTAGATACCCAGTAGTTGGATTGCTTGGTTGGTTGGTAGCTCTATTTTTAGTTCTTTGAGAAATCTCCATACTGTTTTTCATAAAGGTTATACTAATTTTCATTCCCACCAACAGTGTATAAGTGTTCCCTTTTCACCATGTCCTTGCCAACATCTGCTATTTTTTACTTTTTCATAATAGCCATTCCGACTGGGATGAGATGGTATCTTATTATGGTTTTAACATGCATTTCTCTGATGATTAGTGATGTTGAACATTTTTTCATATGTTTGTGGACCACTTGTATGGCTTATTTTGAGAAATATCTTTTTTGTTAGTTTGTTTATTTGTTTGTTTTTGACACAGGGTCTCGCTCTGTCACCCAGGCTGGAGTGCAGTGTCTCAACCAAGGCTCACTGCAGCCTTGATCTCCAAGGCTCAGGTGATCCTCCCATCTCAGCCTTCCGAGTAGCTGGGACCACAGGCATATGCCACCATGCCCAGCTAATTTCTGTATTTTCTGTAGAGACAGGATTTTGCCATGCTTCCCCCGCTGGTCTCGAACTCATGGGCTCAAGCAATCTGCCCTCCTCGGCATCCCAAAGTGCTGGGATTATAGGTGTGAGCCATAGCACTTGGCCAGAAATCTCTGTTAATATCTTTTGCCCACTTTTTAATGATGTTATTTTTTTTCTTGTTCCATTGTTTGAGTTCCTTGTAGATTCTGGATATTAGTCGTTGTCAGATGCCTAGTTTGCAAACATTTTCTCCCATTCTATAGGTTGTCTGTTGTTGATTATTTCTTTTGCTGTGCAGAAGCCCTTTGGTTTAATTAAATCCCATTTGTCTATTTTTGTTTATGTTGCATTTGCTTTTGAAGTCTTAGTCTATAAATTATTTGCCTAGATCAAGGGTCAAGAAGAGTTTTTCTTACGTTTACTTCTGGGATTTTTATAGCTTTGGGTCTTATATTTAACTACTTAATCCATTTTGAGTTAATTTTTGTATATGGTGGGAGATAGGAGTCCAGATTTCAGTGGTTACAATTTAAAAAAGAGAATGATTACCCTTTTTCAGGGATGCAGACTTCCTCTAAGACATAACTTAGAAGACAGTATATTCTCACCTCTGAGATAAACAAAGTACCTATAGATGAGACCGCCAGGAATGTAATATGAGAAAGGTTGGTCATCAAAGAACTAACAACAGAAGAAGAATAATGACTGAGGCTGATGTATCTATATCTATTAATATTTTCAATTGAGTAGTATTTATATGCTCACAAAAATGAGATTTTTGTTGCATAGTGCTGCTTTGATTCCACAGGATGCTATTTAAGGGAATGTCTTCATAATAGTGCCTGAATTTGTGGCAGAAACCTGTGTAGCCCTTTAATGGTCACAGTTTCTTTGCAGAGGATAAGATTCCAGAAAATGAAAGAGTCACAGAAGGCCAAACAGCTGCAGAAGAGTACAAATAGCTCTAATCTGAAATGCATGATTTATCAAATGGGAACATGATTGCTAGCAATCTTACTTTTTTTGGTGATTACAAAGTTGAGCGTAGTAGTGCATATGACTATGAGGACTTTTAAAGAGCTTTTAAAAACATTTATGCATGAGTCTTGGAGATTTTAATCTGAGCAGAAGGCCTCTGTGGAGGTAAATCAAGAGGATAGAATGGCGAGGAATGCTGAGGGAGACCTTCAATCAGGGAAAAATATTAAGTGGGACTCCTTGGGGAGAGGCCTGTATTTGCTTGTCTGGGGTGGGCTAATCTACATAATTGACTAAAACAGAATGAACAGCTGTGAAATACAGCATTTGAATGTGTGGGTAAAACAAAATTACAAAATATACAAGGTCACAGAACATGTAATGTATTTTCATGGGATTATAGAATTTCTAAGCTCATTTGGTATATAAGAAATTGATCAATCCTCCAGAGAAGCTAAATGACTTTACCAAGTTCAACTAGGAAGTTAGCTACCACATTCTAGTTAAAAATGTGGTCTCTGGAGTCAAACATCCAAAATTCATATTCCAGCTCTACCACTCACCGTGTGACTCTTGGGGAAAATCACTCTACTTTTCTGTGCCTCAATTTTCTCATGTATAAAATGGGAATAACAATATGACTTAACTCACATTAAATGAGATTATATATGTCAGTGACACTAGTGTCGTGAACATAGTAAGTGATCAATTAATATGTTAGTTATTAGTGAGAGTGCCAAAGTGAAAGTCACCTAACTCCTACAAGCAATGTTTTACCTGTTCTACAAAACATAAGAGCATATTATAAGGGAAATATAAGTAAGATATTATTTCCATTTTCTAACTAAAATGGTTGTGAGACACAGAATAACATCAAGTCTTCTTGGAGAATTTGAAAGTAAGAATTTTTTGAAGTGACGTTGGAGGAAAAGACTCAGGTGAGCTCTGTAGAATTTTCAGAAGTTTAGTTCATACTCTAATGCTTAAATTCAGCAATTAGATCTTTCCCCCCACTAGCTGAAGTTTTTATATTAGTTTGCTTTGTAGTTTGCAAAAATATATATCAATATATTTTTTATAATTGGCCTTTTTAACATGTTAATTTTTCTTTAGTAACTGATGCCCACTAATGCTGGAGAATGTCTTTATTCTTTGTAATTAGAATAAATTGTGCTTTTATGTAAATGCACATTTTGAGCAAAGTAAAAGCATGCTGTGTATTACAACAATATGTTTTGAATATAGTTAGGGTTAAGGCATCTAATTTTTTTTTTTTTTTTTTTTTTTTTTTTTGAGACGGAGTCTGGCTCTGCCGCCCAGGCTGGAGTGCAGCGGCGCGATCTCGGCTCACCGCAAGCTCCGCCTCCCGGGTTCACGCCATTCTCCTGCCTCAGCCAAGGCATCTAATTTTTTTAAACATTCAAAGATGTTTAATTTTTTTTTTTCTCGTGGAATAATTGGATGGTTGCTTATATAAAGAAATCAAACAAGGTAGAAGTTCAAAGTCACTTTCTTATAATTTCTGGTTAAAATCCTAACAAGATTCTCACATGTTTAGTCACATGTTTGAACATATATTCTAGTCCTGAAGCCCCTCTTAAGGAGTCTACTGAAAGGCCCAAGTTATGTCACCTTGATTATGATTCTGAGGTTTTCGTATTGGCTGGCAAAGTCATTTGTTATTGATTAATGGCTATCTTTGGTCATTATCAAACTTGGATCCAGATGTCATATCCAAACTTGGAATGCTGGCTGGGCATGGTGGCTCATCTCTGCAATCTCAACACTTAGGGAGGCCGAGATGAGAGGATTCCTTGAGCACAGGAATTCAAGACCTGCCTGGACAATATAGTGAGACCTTGTCTCTACAAAAAATTTAAAAAGTTAGCCAAGTATGGTGGTACACACCTGTAGTTCCAGCTACTTACAAGGCTCAGGTAGGAGGATTGCTTGAACCTGGGGAGTGGAGGTTGCAGTGAGCTGAGATCATTCCACTGCCCTCCAGCATGGATGACAGAGTGAGACCCAGTCTCAAAACAAAACAAAACAAAACAAAACAAAACAAAAACAAACTTGGGGCCGGGTGCGGTGGATCACGCCTGTAATCCTAGCACTTTGGGAGGCTGGGGCAAGTGGATCACCTGAGGTCAGGAGTTTGAGACCAGGTTGGCCAACATAGCGAAACCCCATCTCTACTAAAAATACAAAAATTAGCTGGGTGTGGTGGCAGTTGCCTATAATCCCAGCTACTAGGGAGGCTGAGGCAGGAGAATCCCTTGAACCCAGTGGGTGGAGGTTGCAGTGAGCTGAGATAGCATCACTTTATTCCAGCCTGGGCAAAAGAGCAAAACTCCATCTCAAAACAAAAAACAAAAGCAAACAAACAAAAAACCCAAACTTGGAATACTATGTTAGCATCAATAAATCTCAGGTAATGACACTATAAAATATTTCGTATGGCTTTGGTACAAAATCCTGGCTTACTTGTTGCATTTCTTGATTTTATAGGTGCCTTGAGTGACTGTTTAGGCTGTGCTATGTATTTGTTTTCTTGCTCTGTGTTAATATTTTACGATACAATTCATTTTTGGATAATATTTCCCAATGGCTAAGTAGTAAAACATTTACCCAAATATCTCTTAGTCCAGTGAGAATATTGATGTTTCCCAAGGGTGGTCTTCATCATACAATAGAATTTACCCTACAGAAGGCACATTTCCACTTTTAACTATAGACGACTTACTACGGATAAATAAGACACATTCTTGAGGCATCATTGACTCTTTCCTTTGATTGAAGACAGAGCTGTTTCACAATGGTCTTAAAAATTAATCAGGATACCTGCATAATGATGTACTAGCCTCACTTCAAAGACACCTAGTAGTGGCGTTGAGTTATTTAAGGTCCATTAAGCATGTTTGTCATGACTCAGAAAGACATGTTCATGAAAAGCTCATTAACTGTGTTTATTGTATTGACTTCTTCCTGTAGAAACAGCTCTGTTATAAATCAAAAAGTCTCAAACAACAGATTTAGATGTTTATTCCTGAGCTTTTTGGAATAGATTAATTCCAGGACAGCTTCTTCTATATTTTAACTTCCAAATATATTTGAGAGTTTTTACATGAGTTAAATAAGGCACTTACTAAATATAGATAATTGCATCAAAATCCTTAGCTTTGGGATGCTTATGTTTATTGATCCCTCCCTTTGTTTTATTTATTGTTATATTTGTTTTATTATTATAATAATAATTAATATTTTTTATTTGGGGTTGGTAGCATGTGCCAGGTACTTATCAAAGGGCTTGAGATATAAGTATGACAGAACAGATGTGGCTCCTGATCTCATAACACACCTGGAAAGATGCAAGTTTGTTGTATATCTATATTTTGTTGCATAGAATTCCATGTATATGTAGGGAGTAATTATTTATTTTGCATATTTATGTGTTGGGAAGCTATTTACATCCATCTTGATATCTCTGCCTTGTTTATAATGTAAGTGTATGGGTATTCCACATGTCTTTATGTATATAAACATGTACTCATACTGCCAAATAACTTCTAGTAAAATGAGTTATCACAGTATCTACACGTTAGCAGGTAGTAATAACTATAAAAAAAGTTGCATAACAGTTTATGAGTTAAAAACATTCCTACTTTTGTTATATCACAGCAAAGTAAGGTGGCAAGTTTTCATTGAAATTTTCAGGATGAGGCAACTAAGTGTCAGAGAATACAATGACTTGTCTGTTACTCATCATCGACCATATGATCAGGACTCCAAGTGGACTATTTTGGCTCCAAAGTTTCTGTTCTAATCCAATAGAAGACACTTACAAATGCTTTGTAAATATTGACTAGAAGACATTATAAATGTCTTTTAGCTTTATGAAGTGTATTATATCATTAAAACAACAGTAAAATGCTGGACTAAATAGGAATGTGTTTGTGAGGAAAACACTTTCTTCTAATTTATTTTTAAAACATGAGTAGAACTCATTGCTCCTGCAGTAGCATTAGCCAACATATTTTTCTTGGTGTTTCCAGCACCAGTTCACGGATGCTAGTTGCCGTGAACATGTATCAGCAGAAAGTGTGAGCCACAATCTCTAGTAGCAATTGCAAACTTCACTCATTAACACAATCAAGGCTTCTATACTTGGCTCTCTCTCTTTTTTTAATTGTATATATGCCCTTGTCCTTGTAACTTTCATATCTTTTGTGTTCATTCTATCAGATGAGGTTAATTTTCTCTAGTTTCTCAAGACAGGATTATTTCTGCCATTTTACATAAATAGCATTGGTGTTTAATATGCCCATCATGTACCTAATTTTATTTCTGTTGAAAATGCCTGCTCTCTATAGTAAAGATCTCTGTATATTACTGGCAATTCAGAATGTACATGTAAAACCAAACTAAAAAACAAAAAACATCAGTGGACCAGTGAGAAATTTAGCCAAGTGTCACAGAGCCAAAATAAGTTATAATTTTTTGACCTTGAGTGAACAATAAAATGCGAATGTAACTTTTAATAGAATTTATAGAATATAAGAATTTGGTAAATCCCATTGAAAACATAAACAATGAAGTTGATAAGATAAACTCTGGTACTATTTATGTAATCTTAATTAAATTAATTAAAATGTATCTATTGTTAAAATATAAAAAGAACCTCTACAACCTAAGACACATTCTAATTTTAAATTAAAAAAAGAGAAATAATGTAATAAAATAATCTTCCAAATATTAATAGAAAGACTTACAATGAGCAAAACCAACTCCTGGCATCTTTATAAATTTATTTATTTATTCATCCATCATATACTTATTGAGTTCCTTAACAGCAAATAGAACAAAGTCTGTGCCCTTAAACAGCTTAAACTTTATTGGAAGACAGATTCTTATAAAACATAAATAAGGGAGTGCAGTGGCTCATGTCTGTAATCCCAGCACTCTGGGAGGATGTGAGAGGATTGCTTGAGACCAGGAGGTTGAGGCTGCAGTGAGCTGAGATTGTGCCAATGCATTCCAGCCTGGACAACAAAGAAAGAACCTGTCTCTAAAAACAGACAAGCCATAAATAAGCAAAATAATTTCAGATTTTGGTGACTGCTTGAAGGAAATAAACAGAAAGATAAGATGGAGCATTAGTTAAGGCAACCACTTTGGGTGGGCTGCTTGGAAAGGGACTCTCAGAAAAGGTCATTTTTAACTGAGGGATCAGGAGCAAGGGCTCTATAAAGATCAGGGAGACACGTGTTCTAGGCAGAGAGAACAAGTAAGAAGGCCGAAAGATATTGATTGAGGACATGGAGTGAGATGATACTGGGAAGGAAGGAAAGGACTAGAGTACTCCAGATACTGGCTATAGCCAGGACTCTGGCTCATCTTGGAAGAGCCATTGAAAATGTTAGGCAGAGGAGTGAAAAGATCTAATTTATGTTTTTAAAAGATCTGACGGTTGTGTGGATAATGTTTAGTGGGGCAGTGAATAGAGTGGCTGGGAGACCAAGCTCCTGCAGTGATTTGGATGTAAGGCATCGGGGATGTAGACTCAGAGGGGAGGCAGTGGAGATGGTAAGGAATCGGTGCAGCAGAGCCAACAGGACTTGGGGAAAGAAATGAAGGAATTGGGACAAATGTCAGCTCTAGGAGACTTACAGAATTAACAGAGCACAAACCTTAATGTAACAGAAATCAAACAAAAGAGCCAAGAATGACTTACTTCAAGTTAATCACATGTTTCCATTCTGCACCTGAGGAGTGAGACTCCCACACCTGACTCAGGAATTCCATAGGCTCAGTCTACCTGGGTTACGGTTTAGATTTTGTCCAAGACTTTTTAAATAAAAATGTCTAGCTATAGATCGTTTCTCCCAAGCTGGAGCTATATCTTACTTCTGTGTTCCCAACACATAGTATAGTGCCCCTCACACTACAGTAAGCTAAAGTTGATCAGATTCAACGTTAGTTTCTACTTTTAATTTCCCTCAGCAGATGGAAATTTTTAAAGGGTCTACTATGTGCCAAGTACTCTGTTGGAGTTTTTACTAAAAAATGGAACTCATACCTACATTTGGAATGTTTTAAAACTTGTGTTCTTTCATGATCCTATGATGCCTCATTAATCAGAAAACATACCTTGATAACTCATATATATATATATATAAACTCTAAATGTATATATTTTTTGGCTTCTAGAAGGTCAATAGAAAGATTAGTAAAAAATCATGACAAATATAAAGACAAATTGAAGGAACGTATTTATTTATTAGTGGTAACATAATAAAGGTACTAAGTGTTCTAAATATATAACTATGCCATCCCATAGGAGTATATTGTCTAGGGGATCATGAAAACATCAGATTACTCAGGACAGAAATCAGGTATAGATAAAATACCAAAATCAGGTATAGATAAATGGCTGATTGTGTGTTATATTAAAGCACTGCAAAATACTATACTATGTATAGAAAGGTGAAAAATGATGGATCAAAACTAAGATTGATAGATTACATGTTTCTGATCTTGAGGAAAGGAGAAGAAAATAAATGTGAGAGAAATGGGAATATTCTTTGCCCACATTCTCAGTCAGCAGTGATGCTTGTGAAATAGAGTCTTGGCACCACTCCACCTCTCCCCAACACATGCTGGAGGCATGAGAAGTGCCTTTTGAAGAAACCCTCTCAGATTATTTTGATACAAGTAGATAATGGACCATACTTTGGGAAATGCAGATTTAGTCCAGTCTCTATCTTCTGAATCAGTGTGAGATTCATAAAGGAATATGGTTATCCAAAGTTGCATCAGTCATTTTCATTAGTACTTAGGGTAAATCACAGTCTCTTCTTTGATACTTAGATTTAAATTTCCAGCTCCAGCCTTAGACCTGCTAACAACACTCATCATTGCTATTTGTCTTCTAGAATCACAACCACAGCTGCCTGCATGATGGACCTAAGGAGGTACCCACTGGATGAACAAAACTGCACCTTGGAAATTGAGAGCTGTAAGTCGTTCTGAGAATCCAGCTAGACTGGACTCTGCTTTAAGGTTCTTACGCAGAGGCCTCCAGTCCTGGCTCATGTCCAGACCACAGGCCCTGCAAAGGTTCTGCTAGCCCAACTAAATTTGGTTGAGGGAAGCATTGACAGCATCTTTTCTCAGTTATGCTGCCACCCTCTTAGTCTCATCTCTAACTCTCTAACTCTTCGCGAGAGATATTTAGGGAAGAAATAATCTGGCAATAAAAGGAATATGCTAACAGCCTGGAAGGAGACCGAGGGCTATTTCAGGCATTTAAAATATGGAATTGGTGCAAACAGTTACAACAGACTTTGGAAAATAGGTGGAGGTGGCAGAGTGTCACAAGTTGTCCTGTCTTTGCCTCTCATAAACTTTCTATCTTTGTAATTGCAAAATAAATGTGGTCTTTCAGATTAGTTAAAACATTCATAGAGTAAGGTTTTATAGAATGTTTTCTGTTGTTGTTTCAAGGGACTATTTTCAGTCTCTAAAGTATATTTTTTGCTGAAGGCCATCTGATGAGCAAGATTGTGAGTGTGTGTGTGTGTGTGTGTGTGTGTGTGTGTGAGAATTCTGTTTACTGTGCTGACTTGTTTTGCAATGTGCTTGCTTTCCTAGGCCATGATTTTAGCTTCCACATTGATGATTCAGTCAGCTGCCCTATTGGGTGGGCTAAAATGGTGATTTTATAACGCATCTCCATTTTGGAGGTCACATAGGGAGGTGGTTTGAGGTAGAAGAACATTTTGAGTCTCTGTCACTTCTTTGCAATGTTTCCATACTTTATTTCACTAAATCTTTATCCCACTAAATAACTGGAAGTTGACAATTTTATATCCAGAATTCTAAATAATGAGTAACTGGACTGTTGTGAGGGTACTCTTAGCCTTTATGAGGAGTTTTAGCTCTGGCAAGCAGCATGACTAAATCATTGCTGTGAGCAGAAATATGGCATTTGTGACACATTGTGGATATTTTTGCCCAATTTAAAAGATAGCTTCCAGGGTAATTAAATTACATGTATTTTTGAAGAAACTGATTGCATACTTGTATTTCAAATCATCATTATTTTCAAATTATGTTTTTGCCTTATAGAACTAGTTAATGAAATTAGTCCATAGGATTTCAATTATTAACTTTATGTAAATATTTTTAAGATAGCATTGCATGTTGCTTTTTCTAAACTTACGGCTACAATTTAGAAAGCATAATAATGTTTCACAAAGTTCAAATTCTTTTGTAATTTCACATTGTTGATGTAAGAATATGCTGAAATAAGCACGTTGCTATGTACCACTCATGAATTTCTGTGGTGAAAGTATGTTTTGTTCCAGTTTTGGTATATATGCTGCCAGAGAGAACATAAGAGCATTTTTTTGTGGGAAAATTATTCTGGGATATCAAATAATCACAGTTGTAGGTAGGTGAAGGACTTTCATGGATATTATTTCATTTGAGCCTTCCACAACCCTCTCAGATAAGTAAACAAGGCCTCTTTATTTTAAAGAATGGATGCCTAATTATGCAGGCAACACCCAAGTGTTTTTCTGTTATTAAATTATAATTTTGACTCAAATATTTAAAAATTAACATGATAATTCTTTAGGCTTTACGTATCTCACTTCAATTCACAATCACCTTGTTAAATAAGGTCAATATTAATATTTCCGTCTTTACAACTATAGGGAATCAAAATCAAGGAGGTAAGGTGATTTGTTCAAGATCATTCAGTCACTTAGTGGTACAGTGGCTCTGTGCTGATTTGGAAGATAGCTGACTTCTTACTTAGAAAAGACACTGATTTTGGAGGGACCAGATTAACAGACCCTTATTCTAAAACCCCTTAGTCTAAAAAGCAAGAAATAGCCTGGCCTTATGGAAAATTGGGGCTTATTCATATTTAGACTGTTAACAAATCATTGCTACAGAGAATTAGATATGGTGTTATATTAATAATATACATGATATCCAGGCTTTATTGTTGTAAATAGGTTGTCTACTAACTAAACATATTGAAGTGAATTTAGGATCCCATTCCTTAAACTACTGGTTCTCCAATTGATGCTTCTCATTCTGCCTTATTCATCCATTCCTTTACTTTAATCATACCCTAGGCATTCATTCACTCTCATTCTCTTTCTCCCATCTGTCTTCCTCTCTCATCTTTCCCATCTCAGCTCTCCCCTCATCTCTCTCTTTATCCTTCTCTCTGTCCTTCTCCTTCCTCCTTCCCTCTGTTTTTCCCTCCCTTCTTTCTCTGCTTTCCTCTTTTCCTCCCTCCCTCTGGCAAATGAAAATTAACCTAACTGTGTCATTGCTAAATTATTAATACCTTGTCAGCATATCGACAATCAATACATTGGGTCAGTTCAGGAGAGGATAACATAACCTGACTCTTGGCAGCTTGGAGTCAGGGAACATTAGGATTGAGCTAATTGTTCATTCATTCATTCACTCAGGAATGTATTTGTTCATTAAATTGTTATTGAACACTAATCTTTTACCAGGTATCGTAATAAGCTCTAAAGATCTAATAGTGAATAGCAATATACAATATCCCTGGCCTCCTTTATTGAGGTGAGAGAGATAGATATATAGATTGTGTATCGCAAATCTGACATGCTTTAGACCAGAAATGTTTTGAATTTCAGATTGTTTCAGATTTTAGAATATTTGCAATATATTTGTAAGTAGTATATTACCATACTTAGCAGTTGAGCCTCCCTAATCCAAAATCTGAAGTGCTCCAGTGAGCATTGTATTTGAGTGTCACGCCAGCACTCAAATTGATTTGGATTTTGGAGCCTTTCATATTTCAGATTTTTGGATTAAGGATACTCAATGTCTAATTTAAGTCAATACATGCATGAATATAAAATTGCATTGCTAAAATTGCTGCCAAGATGAAGTACTTAGTTCTATAGCATCTTAAAGAAAGGCTGTTTAAAGCAAGCCTTGAAATAAAGTACTGAGGGCTCTAAAAGGTTAATATGGACTACACCGACTTCATAACTTTTCTTAAATATACAGGGATGGGGGGTGTTTCATAGAATTCTTGAGATTTGCAGAATTAAATGGGTCTTGATAATATTTATCACTATGAGGGCCATGAAACTTAACTGCTAAAATTGAAAGGAGATATCCATTCCTAGGCATTTTCCAATTCTAGCTCCTAAAGCCCCCTTTTACTTAAATGTTGCCGTTACCTGTGTGGTCAGAGGCAACTCACCATATTTTGTCTACATAGAATGCATTGTGTTTATATCTCTCTCTGAAACTTTTAGTACAGGTTGGGAAAGGGACACTGGAATACTGCCTATTTTTCTAGGGAAATGTCACCCAAAAAGCACCAAACAACAACAAAGTTATGCCCAAGCCTACATAAACAAAGTTCTTTTGAATGTACTTGCTGTTTAGGAATGAGTTCTAGTACAGAAATAGTGAATCTTCCCAGGTGTGCCGATGCTTTAGGAATCTGATGCTGCCAAGTATAATTTAGAACTGTTAGTACAAATCAAAGATTTCTCTCTTTAAAAAAAAATAAGTTTTAATCACATTGTCAGGAGGACATTGAAACTCATTACACTGTGAGGCCACTTAATATGTCCCATCCAGATATAAAAAATAGTGAAAAGGAGGTGGTGAAAGTATTATATATCTTTGAAATAGGAATAGTCAGGGGGATACTCTGCTGTATTCTGTGCCAGCTCAGCTACACAATACCAATGTCAACTACATGGCCTCATCATGCCCCCTCCTCCCTCCCTCAGGAGAAAAGCTGCCTTATCTAGTCTTCACTCTGGTTCCAGGTTTTCCACTTAGGGCGTGTGAACTGCTTGTCTGAAAAGGAAGAAGGAATTCTCTAAACTAAGCTGCTCAAATAACTAAAATTCCAAAGGATCATTTCTTGTTCATTCATTACGTGTTTTGGTCTCATCTTATCTCTGAGTAAGTTGGACTGGCCAGAGTCAGTGTCTCAGAGAAGGAGCTTAGTGTTCTCGTTTTCAACATTGTGGATTTCTCAGTCAATCTCAGCCATAGTGGGATCTACAAAGAACTAGAAGACATAAAACTTTATCAGCAGCTCTTTCATAGGCCTTCACAGGGATACACAAAGTGTTTACTGAGACAGACAGTCAGGCATCTCCTTTTAAGATTTAGAAAAAGAAAAAAGTCCTACACACTGCCCTTTGTGACAGCATCAGAAACCAATTGTTGCTGGCCTCTCAGAGTCACTGATTACCTGAGAGACACTGGCAAAGTCACTCCCTTAGTAGACCCTCTTTCTTCAGGGGTAAAATGGAAATAATACCTAACACAGGAGATTGTTATGAAGCTCACATGAAGTCTGTTAGACAAAGAATCTAACACATTGCTTTGGTCCATGGTAGACATCTAATAAATAGCAACTTCAGCAATTAATAATTATTATTACTATAATAATCCCAGTTTTGGTGGTTATATTTTAAAAGTCCCATACTGCCACGGATTGCACTAATTATGAGATTAGTAAATCTAGCCAAGGAGACCCAGAGCCCAACATCACCCTTCTCAACCTTCGTAGATTTTATTCTGGCCCTTGCTTTGACATTCCAAGTAAGTCTCATTTTCTGTAGTGCTATCTACTTCCTCATAGAATGTTTTAGCCAGCTGTGCCTACTGCAGTATAAAATGCAAATTAATTTATTTTACTTTGTAGGGAAAATAATTAATAGCTAGCTTCAAAATCCAAAGATGGGTATTTTAAAACATTTTGACATCTGGATTTGGATTAAGTGAAAGAACAGTCCATTTATAAATATAATCCCTTCATGGTTTTATTAACATTTCAATTGGCCAAGGAAGGCAATCAACCCTGGTGGTCATCTAAAGCCTATTTGATTGATATAGCAAAAGGTACTTGTGAGTGTGTGAGAGTGTTTTGGTACAAGCATCTCTTCTTCTTAGCGTATGCACCATGCTTTAGGAAGGCAGAAGATAGAAATGTGCCTGTTGTGTTACTGAATTCCAATTTGTACATTATATAAAGGCAACATGTTGTTGGGTCATTGATGGAATAAAGGCTGTATTTTCTTTATTCAACAATTTTATTCTAAATCATCCTTGTCGAAGGGGTCAGTATAGATTGATATATTGAAGCATTTGAGGTATTACATCCAAATTTGCTATAACAAGGAGCTAATATATTTTGTATTGGGTTATGCTATAGATTCACTAATATTTCAGTAAACATAAATGCAGTATTTTTAATAACTTAAAAAAATGAAAAGTGCATTGTGTTTCTCCACCCCAGGTAAACGTCGATAGCACCTTAGAGTATAACAGTAGTCTCAAAACATCTGTAACAGAGGAAGTAGTGAGCAGGTGGGGCTCTTTGCAAAAGTGGTGTAGTATTAAGAGGGTATTGTTTGAATAGAGATAGACTTGTCTATTATGGTTTCCTCAAGCTAGCTAAACAGGTCACTTAGCTTCTTCAAGCTGCAGTTTCTCATTTGTACAATATTGTGACCCTTAAAGGTAATAAGATAATCAAGATAGAGATCTTTGTGCAATGCTTGGTACTGATATTTCCATAAGTAGCAGCTGTTATCATTATAGCATCATCATTATCATTATCAAATTACTGCTGGAATACTGTGCTCAGTTAGAGTTACATTTTAAGAGGGATATGTAGCAATCAGAACAACCAAAATATGAATGATATATAAACCATGGAGTCTGGAAAGCCAGTAGAAGGAACTGGAGTGTTGGACGGAACATTTACCCTGAGGAAGGAACACTGAGGCTAGGAAGGATGGCAGTGGTTGAACAGGATAGCTATTTTCAAATAAATGCAGAATTTCCTCTTAAGGAAAGAGAGTAGACTCTGTGTACCCTAAGGACAAAATTAACTAATGGTAAAAGATGCCAAAAGGCAATTTTTGGCTGAAAGTTAAAAAAAGAAAAGTTCATAGCAGTTACAGCTGGTGAAAAGTCAGATGGGCTGCCGTATTCTGTAAAACCATTTGCTGGGAATAAAGGAATTATTTCACTGAGCAAGTGATGGGATTACATGATCTCTAAGTAGCTGTAGGTTAAGGGTTACTTGGCACAAGCAAAAATATGTAGGACTTGAGTTAAAGGACAACTAGGCAGGCCCTGGTTTATGTGAAGATGCAGATCCCATATGCATATACCTCTGAGAGCAATGCTGTTTAGGAAAAGATGAAAATCACATCCCTGCTAAAATTTAAAGTAGAACAGCGTATGTGTTTTGCTGATGGTCTGTTGTTGTTTAGCTAGCAATCTTTCTTCTCTCAGATTTTCCTCATAGGAATACATCTCACACTTGTGCCTATGAGGAAAAAGGCTAAAACTCTAATATTTTTCTGTCTTTCTGAATAATCTAAACCTTCTTGAATATTTTGATCTTCTTAAGGCTCAACAGAAGAGAAGGTATGTGTGCATGTGTCTGTTTATGTGTGTGTGTGAAAGGGGGGTGTAAAGTGGAGGTGTCACATAATGAAGCTGATAAATATTTTAGGTGATCTTTGAGTTATTTTAAATTAGAAAAATACTGCTGTAAAACTACAGTGAGGCTTAGTTATAATTATTTATTGAAAAAAAAGCAAAGCACACTGCAAATGCTCCATGGTGTCACTGCATACAAATTTAATTTGCATCACTGTCCTATTTTGATATTTTCTTGAATTGTGTCCAGTGTTGTGGAAGTGAGGAATTTATTTTCCATTCTTGCTGTGTGAAGATACTTTGTTGGAATGTGGTCTTGGTTTAACAGTTGGTCCTTCATGACCATAGACAAGTGCTTGGATGTGCATGTTGAACCTCTGACATTTCCTGTGGATATTTCTGACCTTGACGTGTATCTGGACTCAAAGACTCTGCTTTTTCAATTTTTCCAATATTAGAAAGTAAACTAGTGACTTGGGTATAAAGGATATGTCTTAATATTGAATATTAAAAATAACACAAGGAAATTCTTTCTATCTAAAGTGTTCTTTCCCCTAGTAAAGAGAAATCATATTTGTTTAATGTCCTCTTTTAATGTCTCTGTTTTCTCCCTCTGAGGTTTGCACTAAATAGATTGTTGGTCTCCTGCATAAATCTGCCATGGATCTGAACTGAAATTTTCAATTCTTATCTTCCAGATTGCTAACATTTATTTTATTCTAAATAAATTATTATTGGTAAATATTTTGTTTTGGCAGTCACGTTTTCAGTTTCTAAGAACTCTTTCTTATTATGTGGTTACTCATTTTCCATAGTCACTTGTTCTCATGGAATATCCTTTTGGTTTTAAACATGAAAATTTAAGTTATTTTACACGTTTTCTGCTGTGTTTCTCTTTCTTTTTGTGACGATGTGTGCTGGCTTATCTTGGTCTTTCCTTTTTCATGCTGATGATTTTCTTCAGATGTCTGCTAATCTTGGAATTCATTTCATGTTTGTAAATAAAAGACTAATTTGACCAGATCAAGTCTCTCATATGGGTTTTTAAAACCTATATGCATTTCCTCAGCACTTTTACATGATGGTTTCCATAGCCAACCTCTTTGCTGAAGAGGATGGTACAGGAGGAGATCTGGGCATGTCACCAGTCTCCCTCTTTAAGAGAGTGTGCTAGGACCTTTCACAGATAACCACAACTTTCATCTGAGCCTCCTGCACTTCAGATTATTTCACTCTCACTCCTAGGAGGAAATGGGATTCATTTTTTCCCCTCTATTTATAGAAATGCCCAGAGCTATCTGAAACTCTGTCCTGATTCTCTTCAGTCCAATATCTAAATTAGGAGCTACGCAGCCCCCACTTTGTTAAGGGGCTTTCTTACGTTGTAATCCTGGGTTAAATCACCACAGCCAGTTGTAGGAGAGAAAGAGAACCAGTCTGGCAGATCCATGGGCACACTCTCACGTTGAACTTGCTGACTGAGTTTGGAAATTCTCTAGGGCATACGTTCTCAACCTTGCTGCATATTATAAAATCGCTGGGGATTTTTTAAAAAATTCAAATGATCAGGCCACACCACAGGCCTCTTAAATTAGCAATTTTAGAAGTTCTTCAGGTGACTATAATGAACAGCCAGCATTGGGAATGAGTGTTCTGGAGCGTGATTCTCACATGTGAATGGGCAGGAGAATCTCCTGGAGGGCTTATTAAAACCCACATTGCTGGGGCCCCATCTCCAGGCTTTCTAACACAGTGGACCTGGGTGAGGTCTGAGAATGTGCATTTCTAACAAATTCCCAGGCCATACAGATACTGCTGGTGCAGGGACCACAGCTTGAAAGTCACTGCTCTGGACTTTAGTGGGAAGATCGGCTCTCTCCTTAGCCCTGCTTCATCCAAATCCTTTTTTAGGTTGATGTTTCTCTTTTTAATTTTTGAATCTATGTAACCTCATTTACATTCTAACTTTTCTACATTTTTCAACATTTTTGGCTGAATGATGGCATTCTTTTCCATTTTGTAATGCTAGTATGGATTTATTACTATTCCTTCCTTTTAGAGTTATTCCTGTGAGACTGGAGTAGGGCGGGAAAGGTAAATATGCTGTCATAAACTGGAACTCACCTTTTTAAATACACATATGAATATTTAACTGCATATGCAATATTTAACCTCATTTAAAAAATTTAAGAGTATTATCACATATATCTTATTTTCTGAAATATTCTTTAGAATATAATTTGCAGTTCCTCCCTAGTATCTACATTTAAATGAACCATAATTTCTGTAACCAGTTGCCTATTTTAGAACATAAATTATTTCTATCGTGTTTCTATTTTAAGTGTTATAATTTGTATATGATTGAGGCTGTATCATTAAATACAACCATGATTTTATATGTATGAATGTATATATATTTGTATATAAACAAATTTTTATATAATATATATAACTATGCTATTCTATATGGTATGTAAAATTAAATGTAAATTAATTAAACTTAAGTAAAACTAAAAATTTAATGCCCCATTTACAGGAGGCATATTTTCATGTGCTCAATAGCCACATGTAACAAGTGGCTGCCGTACTGGACAGGAGAGACAAATAGAACATTTCCATCATCTCAGAAAAGTCTGCTGAATACACTAATATATAAGATGAATGCATAGAAGTTGAATTTTCACATCATAGAGAATGTGTAATTGAAATACTCAGTTTGCACGTCATAGAGAATATACAGTTGGATATTGTGCCATAGGAAATTTTCTACTTAAACTTCCAGCATGAATGTTTTATAGTATCATTTCTTTAGACTTGGTTTACATTCATGACATTTGATGCGACTTAAATGTTACATGGGCAGCATTTTTCTAATGTAAAATTAATGGGTTAAAGGCAGATATAATTTAATACTTGAGGCATTACAATTATTGTACAAGGTAAGCCTTGAACAGATCTTATAGCAGTGCAGGGTATCTATTTTATAAGGTATCACTATGGCAAATAACTATTTTCTACCCTTAAATACTATCGGTTGTAAGTTTCACTATTACATTAATAAGAATAATGAAATCCTGCCCTGAATGTATTCATCTCTTGGTAGATAATATTCTACGCATTCCTGTTTGTATGATAAAATGTAAAGGGGACCCCAAGTACATTTAGAATTGAAATATAGTTATTTTTGTATTTGCAAATTATTATTTTATTATTTCTAAGTGGAAAAACCAGAAAGAAACATAATACATAACGTTATCAAATTACTATCTCCCACTCTCACAAGTGAAAACCCACCTTCTGGGTTCATTCCCTCAAGACACTGTTAGACTGTTTCTGATACAGTGTGCAAAGTGAAACAGTTAATGAAGGGCATGTGTATACCATAATAACTGCTGGCCTAGAGGGCAGAGTGTGGGTAGACTACCTGTATCATCCTGGCAGTGGTCAAGACTTTCCCGTGAATCAGTAGACACCTTTTGGAACCTAGAATTTTAGATACAGAGAGATTGAGGGGAAGTCTTTTAGCAGTAGACATCACCCCCTACACCCCCTATTACATTTTTACCCTGTAACATTGAAAAAAATCAATATGAATTCTATGTAAAACCTGGGTAAGTTGAATCCACTGGCTTCCAATCCCTCACGTGTAACAAGCTGACTTGTAACTAAATGAGCCCAGAGCCTGAGAACAACTCACCCCTTTGACCAGGTGGTAAGCACAGCTGTCAAGCTTAGGAATATGTTGGCACAAGGCTCAGCTTTCAACTCAAAGAACAGCCAGGAGCAGTTACAAGGATACTGATTCCCATTACGGGTTCTCAAAAGTGAAGCATTTTCTTAACGCCTAAATGATTTCCTATGTCTCTCAGGACACTGAGAGTTTGATAAGGCTCTACTCAAAAACCGACATTGTGTCTATTTACCTTTCTGAAGAAGATGGACACCTTCTTTTAAGTTTCTAATGCTAATTTTCCCCCTGCCTTCAAATTGCCCATTAGATCTAAAAAAGGCAGTTTAGGACTTCACAACATATTATAAATCTCTCTGTGGGCAAATTTTGTAGCGGGAGGGTGGTGGGAATGCAAACGTGTTTACTTAGTTTACTTTTAGGCTCAGGAAAGGTACCAGCAATGCCGTCATCCTGCAAAAGCTCCCTTCTTGGCTGGGCTTCATTTCATACTTGATCCTAATTAGGTGAAAATGCCACATTTGCAGATTTCTTATCATTTTTAGTGAATGCTGGAGAGCACTTTGTGAAACCTGATGTGAACATCATAAGCCAGAGGCGTAAATACACCCACACACCTTCCCTGAAGCATTTCCAGAAACCTCCTGTTGTTTTTGTTTGATAGTTGCAGCCCATTGAACTGCAACACAGACTGACTTTTCTCAGATTCTAGACTTGGCTTCCTGTGTTATTGCTTGAAGATATTTTTCTTTCCATAGATTTTCAATAATGCGTGCTAGTTTTTGCAAATCGAGTACCTCTTTCTTCATGATAGCCTCCAGAATCTACCATCTACCCCTGCTCACACCTCCACTGCCGCCAGCTCCATGAAAATTACATTATCGCCATCACCATCAGTAGTAACTACCCTGTATTTAATGCTTACTTTGTGCCAGATCTTGTGCTGTGTACTTACAAACAAGATCTCACCCAACCCTCTTATAGTAATATATGGCAGCTACATATATTATTTCCTCTTTACAGATGAGGACATGGGGTCTTGGAGAAGTTGTATAACTTACTTAAGGCCACCCATGTTAGCAAGTGAATGTATTGATTAAGGTTTAGTTGAAGAAAATTGAATCCAATAAAACTAGCTTCAACAGAAGGGGATTATATGGGCTAAGGAATTATTGACTGGATTGAAGAAAGAGAGGTGAGGCTGTGCTTTTAGAGATGACTCTCAAAATTACAGCCCAGTCATGTATTGCCAAGGCAGCCACTAGTCCTGCTGGTATATTGGGAGCACCTGCTTAATAAAGTAGTCACTGCTCTAGCTGCTAGATGGAAACCACAGTGCTTCTCATGTAGTCTGTATTAGCACAACGGATGTTCTGTGCCATACTTCTCTCTCCATTCAACCCAGTCCTGAATTCAAGTCCCCCGTAAGTACATCTGACTGGCGGAGTCTGGATCACGTTTAGAACCATAGAAAAACGTGAGCCTGGAAAGTGTAGTTTGTGGTAATTCAGGACCCAGTATCAAGCAGAGTGGCTAAGCTGGGATTTAAACTGAGGTCATTCTGATTTTAGAACCTATGTCTTCAATCAGTGTACATATTGTTTCCTTGTTTATTTATCTAACATATGATTAACACATTCCTCTTTGCATGATAACTTCATCAAATGCTACCTACTGAAGTGTACGCTTTCAGTGGACATTTCTTTGCTTGGCCCATACCCAAACACTATATTTGTAGAATTCCTTACTTTATGAGACAGAACCCACCTCCATAAAAGAAGTTTAAAAAGTCAGAGAATCATCTTCTCAGTCACCCTTATAACTAGAAGGCAGGTGCAAAACCAAGGCACTGCTAATCACTTAACTTTGAGTTGGAAATTGGTGGCAAAAAATAAAACAGTGAAGAGATCGATACCATCCTGGCCAACGTAGTGAAACCCAGTCTCTACTAAAAATACAAAAATTAGCTGGACATGGTGGCACGCGCCTGTAGTCCCAGCAACTCAGGAGGCTGAGGCAGGAGAATCGCTTGAACCGGGGTGGCAGAGGTTGCAGTGAGCTGAGATCGCGCCACTGAACTTCAGCCTGGCAACAGAGCGAGACTCTGTCTCAAAACAAAACAAAACAAAAACAACAACAACAAAAAAAACAGACAAACAAACAAAAAAACAGTGTCTATGGAAAAGTCCAGCCTAAGGATGGCTGCTGTGGCAGTGGATGGCAAGCAGTGTTTAGTGTGTTTAGTGGCACATGCTGATGGTATCTGCGGTGGAAATTGATGCTCAGTGGAGGCAGCACTGGTAACTTCACAGGACCATTTCTGCCCTGTACATTTGGGCATTGTTGCTGACTGCATAGTTTCCACAGTGGGTCCTCTGCCTTCTATGATCTGTTCATTATCAGTTTAATTTAGCCAAAGTCAGTTTTGTTGTTTGCAGCTAAGTGCTTTGACTACTATGCTTATTGAAGGAAGGATTATGTCCTGTGTTATCTTTTATCTTGTCTACTGCTTTGTGTATGACAGCCAGTCAGGAAATTTATCAATTTAACTAATTTCACTAAAGTTTACTCCAGATATAGGTCCTCTCAAGAGAAAATACAAAATAGTGAAATTAGGAATCCCCTAATATATATGACCCTCTGCTGGAATGTATAACCCTGGCCACAAATCATTTGATAAGTGATTTCTGGCTACTTAAACAAATATATTCGGTACTTTGTGCAAATTATCCTGTGGTCACATTTATTTATCTGTCTCTGTCTATCTATCTATCTATCTGTCTATCTATCTATCTATCTATCTATCATCTATCTACCTCTGTCTATCAATTATTGAACACTTACTGTGTACTAAATGCCTTATGTTCATTTTCTCATTGTGGTGTATCTACCCTATGAGAATAAAATGAGGCACAAAGAGATTAAGTAAGGGTCACACAGCTAATAAGATGTGAAGTCAGGATTCAGTCCCAGACAGTCTATCCTCAGGTGTCATGCTCTCAATCAGCATAACAACAAGCTACAACTACATTTAAAATATACTGAGAAAAAATGATGCTTAAGTCATACGAGCACTGTCAGAACTGGTCGTTAAGGTGTTAAACTGTTTTAATATAGGAAGTGATTCTTCTGTCCCTTTCAGTCCTTGTTATTAAGAGAAGTGTTTATACATTGTCAGCATAATATCCATAAATCGGTCAAGAATATTTTAAATTACTGCTCCTCACTTTGTTTCTTAAATTTGTTTCTGATAAACAGGACTTCTTTAAAAAGATGTATTTTTAATTAAGACACAAAGCCACTCTCATTGTTATATAAATTGATTTCACATGCCACTTTTTGCGACCTTTAGAAATAAATATTTATTATGGTTATTTATTGAGGAATTTTGCTTATACTTAAAACACTTACATAAAGTACTATTGAGTATAAATTTAATTAAATGTACTGCCAAATGGTAAAGGTTGGTGGACAGAAATGGGAAACATCTATTACAGATGAGCCGGCCTTGAGTTGTAACATTGTGGCTGCTTTGAATTATAATTGTATCAAAATCACTTTAATAATGTGAGCAGAAGACAGAAAGAATTATAGATTTCTTACAGATGTAGAAAAGTTACTTGACTGTGTCTTTCTAATTCCACTGTTTTCTTGTTAGTGCTTTAAGTGAAGGTCATGCTAACAGGATAAAATTTTTTGATTGTGAAGATACATTGATAAAATGTACCTTAAGGTTTAACAAAAGGCTCTTTTAAGTTTTGAAGAAATATCTTCAATGTAAGATGAGCAATAGCTACTATTCAGAATGTCATTTTGTGCTACACATTCTAGGTAAGCTCTTTACATTTATCATCTCATTTAATCTTCATGGCAGCCCCTTGGACAGGTATAATGTCATTCCTGTTTTACAGATAAGGAGACTGGGGCTTAAAGAATTTCAAAGTTACATTTGGAAGTGTTGAGATTGGAATTAATTTACTCCTGAAAGTCTAATTACAATCTGGTAATGTGTTAAGCTATTTTTTATAACTTTATTAAGGTATAATTGACAAATAAAATTGAGTATATTTACTGTGTACAATGTGATATTTTGATATATAAATACATTATGAAATGACTACCACAAACACAGAGTTTGATAATTCAACTATGCTGGTGATACTCTCTCATTTATTTAATAAGAACAGTACAGGCTCAAAAAACAGGCATCCTGTAGCTGATAATCAATTTAACATATACTTACTGATACTTTACTAGGCTTGGAAAACCGTGGAAAGAATTCAGAGAAAGTATGTAAAAAGACTCTTTCAAGAGCCACAGAAGGGATTCATTATTAACAAAAGTGGGTTTGTTATTCTCGTTTTAACAACCTCTCTCTTCTGGGAAACCAGAGATGAGGAGAATGCTGTATCCATTTTTCCAGAAAGAAAAAGACAAATGATCTGCCCAATTCTCCATTGCCAAATAGGAGTTGAATGACAGTCCTGAAGCCAGGAGAAATCTTCAGTCCCTCTAATCACAGTACTCTAACATAGTAAAGGCTAAGCAGTCTGTGATCTAACTCCTCCCTGGAAGGAATGGATGGGGTTTACTTGGGCTCAGTGTGGCTTTCCACTTCCTGATGGAGCTGTTATTTTTCTAGGCCTCGTTTCTGGTATTTTAAGCTTTTTGGTTAACCATTGTGTGCAGCTATAAGAGCCCAAAGTATCGGAACAATTTCTGAAGCACAATATGCCACATAGAAGACAATCATTTAAAATTTCCACTCAAAGAAAGTAAGTTTTTCTCTTTTTTCTTTGGTTATAGAATGCAGGAAGAGAAGATCAGAAAATAGAAACTTCTCCTTGACATTATTTCCTGGACCTTCCACTTAAAATCTTAATCACAAATTCTCCAAAGATCAAGTACTTATTATATTCTTGCAAATCACATTGAGTTGGAGAGAATTACCTTTTGATGACAGCAAGGTAGAAGGTATAAGGGCTGGAGTGGGCAGTCTTGGCTCTTCAGCCCAATCATTCTCTAAGATCCAGAGAGGGAAGTCATTGTACCAGAAAAAAATTTTCTTGAATAGCCTCAAGGATTTTTTTACTCACTCTTCTCTTTGCCTACAGTATATTTTCTTCCCTTTTTTGCTTAGCTAACTCCTACACACCTTCAAATCTAAAATCAGATTTCATTTCTTAGCAAAGCCTTTCTTAATTTCCCTCTCTCAAAGTACCTGTAACATTTCTTCACAGGAGTTTGCACAATTGCGATACTTATATGTGTTATTTCATAATAAATGTCTGCCTTTTTTTCCTAACTGTCAGCTCCATTAGGTGAGTACGATGATTATTTTCTTAATCATTATGCCCAAAGTGCTGAGGGCGAAGCATTGTAAATCTCAGAACTATTTGTTGAATAATGAATGGATAGATGAATAGTTGGATGAATAAGGAATAGCCATTCCCAATCATGTTTGTTAATCATTTACTATCTTCAAGGAGCTCCTTTCTTTTTTGCCTTCAAACTCAGGTCATCACTAGCTCTTCAAACTATGGAAAGATAGAAGGGGAAAAATGGGACTATTGTGTTTTGTAAGGCTAGAAACTCGCAGAATATAAAGTATATCCATCCCTTCATAAAGAAATTGGGCTCCAGCTATCAGCTGGCATCCTTCCCAACCTTACCAAAGATGAAGGATAAGTAGCCCCTTCAGTGGATGATCATATCCTTTCTTCTTCATTATGCTAATATGATGGGTTATATTATTTAATTTTTAATGATAAACCTATCTCAACCTTGCATTCCTAGGATAAATCTTATGCAGCCATTATAGATTGTCATTTTACATGATGTTAGATGTGATATTCTATTATTTTGTTGAAGATTTTTGCATCATGAAGGATATTGGATTGTAACTCCTATTTATTTTTCTTTTGGAAATGCCTTTTTAGGACTGATATTAGAGTTATGTTGGCCTCAAAATATGAGTGGGGACAGTGATCCATCTTCCTTCTCTATTTTCTGAAAATTTGTAAACTTGGCATTTTCTTCGTTTTTGAATGTTTGATAGATTTCCAACTAAAGTCATCTGGGCCTGAAGTTTTCTTTTGAGTAAGTTCTTGACAAATTCAATATCTTTAACAGATATGGGACTTTAAAAAGATCAGACTTTCTGTTTCTTCGTATGTCATATTTAGTTTAGTACATTTTAGTTCTCAATAATTTTTTTCCATTTATTCTAAGATGTTGAAATTTGGCATAAAGTTATTCACAGTATTCACCTATTATCCTTTTAATGTCTATAGTGTCTGTGGCAATAATCCCTTTTCTTTCTTAATATGGTGATTTGTATTCTCTATCATTGATCAGTTTTGCTGGATATTTGTCAATTTTGTTAGTATTTTCAAAGAATCATCTTCTGACTCTGTTAGTTTTCTCTATTTTCTAGTTTTTATTTCATTGATTACTGCTGTTTATTATTTCTTCCTGCACTTCCTTTGTATTTATTTTGCTTATTATTTTCTAGATTTTTTTAAGATGATACTTTGAGCCACCGATTTGAAATCTTGCTTGAATTCTACTATAAAGGCTTAAAGCAACACGTTTCCCTCTTATATACTCTGCTTTATTCACTTTCCCAAAATCTTAATGTATTTTCATGCTGTTTTTAAAATATTTTCCAATCAGTTTAGTAATTTCATTTTTGTCTTATAATTTATTTGGAAATGTATTGTTTTACTTCCAGTTAGTAGGCGTTTTCCTATATATAGTAATCTTAACAATTTTTAACTCAATACTTTTGTAGTTTGTTTTATAGTTTTTATCCTTTTAAAATTTATGGAGAATTGTCCATCTTGAGTAAATATATCATGCATTAAAAATGTGTATTGTGCAGTTGAAGGTTATTAATACTGTTCTAAATGTGACAATTAGATCAAAATGGTTAATGTGGTTGTTCATACTTTCTATGTTTATATTAGCTTATTTTCTAGCTCTATCAAATGCTGAGAGAAGTATAAAAATTCCTACTATGTTTTTGTAATTTATATTTCCTTTGATTCTGCAAATGTTTGCTTTATTTATCTTGAGGCCATTATTTGTTCCATATACACTGAGAATTATTAGGTCTTCCTGATGAATTTTCTCATTTATCATAATGAAATGTCCTTTTTTATCTCTAGTAATATTCTTAGTCTCAAAGTGCATTTTATAGGATATTAAAATAACCTTTCTGACATTATCCATACTTTTTGCATAATAAATATTTTTCTCTTTGTTTATTTTTATTTTATCTGTATCTTTATATTTAAAGTGGTTCTTTCAGGACTCACATAGTAGAGTCTGGCTTTTTGTATGCTTTGACGGTTCCTCCTGCTTTTTAGTTGGATGAGAATGTTAAGACCATAGTTGGCAAACTATGAGTCATAAGCCAAATCCAGCCCGTGGCCTTTTTGTACTGCCCACACACTAAAAATGGGTGTGTGGCTTTTTTTTTTTTTTTTTTTTTTTTTTTTTTTTTTTTTTTTTTTTTTACATTTTTAAAGAGTTATAAAAGGGAGAATATAAAGAAATCTTATACCTTAGCAGTTCCTTTTGGCCCCATTACCCTTTCCTTCACTGTATACACTATTAATGCAACTTGATTGTTATACTTATTTCTGGGAAATCAGGTATCCTGTGATTTCAAATGGAGCTTTCAGTCAAATTTTCAACCAGATACCTTTCATGTTTTTATTTTTTTATTTTTTAAAAAAAAGATCTGTGTAAGAAATTTAATCTTGTTTATTTGGTCCTTCTGGCAGTCATTTCTGCATCCCGGTTAGAAGAATTTTCTCCCAGAATTGTACTGTTAACACATTTTATAACTATATTACATACCTTTTATCTGAATTGTTAATAAAAAGTTTGAATAATATACAAGAATAATGCACTCTGTCACATAAATGTCAACCCATTAATAATTTTTTTATGAATTTACTCAACTAGCTGTAGATTTACTTAACCCTCTAATTTAGCTTTCATTTCACCTACTAATCAAAATGATTATCTATAGATATTCAAAAACAGCTGTTTCTGTAAATGAAGCATGAACTATGAATAGCTAACATCTCTTAAACACTTTCTATGTGCCAGTCAGTGTTTTGAATTGCTTATATGAAGTAGTTAATTTAATCCTGTAAAGTACTATCAGTAATGACATTTCCAGATTTGGAAAGTGAAACACAGAGAAGTTAAACAACATGCCCAAGGTTACACAGAGTGGTGGAGTCCGAATTTGGTCCCAGGCTGTTTGCTCCCAAAGCCTGAGCTGTTAACAACCTCTCTTGCACCATTTTGTTACTGAAGGAGCATTGATTTGGGGTCATGATACCTGAGTCTGAGCCATTGATAAGTACCAGATTTCAATTAAGTTTTTCAAAGAATGGAGGCGTTATACCAAAAAGTTACTAGGTATTCTTTAGCTCAAAATATTATTATTCTTGTTTACTTAGCTATTTGATCATTTCCATATGAAGAAGAGGCAAGGATAATCATAAATACTATTACACAGTACTTCTGTCAAGGTCCTAGATAAACATTTTGTGCCTAACAGAAATGAGCTTTGAGCACAGCTCTGTCTTCCCTTAGAATTAGATTTTAGCAGCGTTGGCTCCATGGGCATGAGGCCTGGAACACAGAGGCCATGATGAGAAGGGGCCTGGAACACAGGGGCCATGATGAGAAGGGCCTCACATTAATACTCTGCTGTCATGGTACTGAAATTCCTAATAATTTATGAGCAAGGGACCCCACATTTTAATTTTGCACACACAAAATCTGTCACCAATCCTGCTGTCAATTTTTCTGCTGTAGTCTTGAGGTGCTGCACAGACAGCAGAAGGCTTAGCATAGGTTACAGGGCTAGGAAATGCTCCCTGGTGTGGGAACATAATAGCAGTCAGTCCCTTCTTAGAGTCAGTCCCTTCTTAGATCAGTGAATGCTGAGTCTCCTGGTTTGGTGGTCTGTTTTCATTTCTTGCCTTTTACATTCTAGAAAAGCAAAATTTTCCATTACATCTTGTTGGTATCTGCAACCAACTTCTGTGGGTCAGTACCTATTATCGTTTTAATTGGAGAAATAATGAAACATGTTTACTTACATTTTGCATATAGAAAGAAAGATAAAGACATTTCTTAATTTGTTGTCCCCATTTTCTCTCTGGGCATGATTCCTAATGCTAATATTACATGATCTTTTTTTGGCGATGATGTTATGTTTTCTAATCCATAAGAGAATTCAGAATTTGTATTTCAAATAGAACAAAGCCTTATTCCACTGTGAAATATTTCACATCCAACTCTCCCTTGCTCCCACCACCCAGGAGAATATCTCAGTGATTAAATAAGTTAAAAGCTAAAGTTGCTTTGCAAAGAGCATAGCCTACTAACCCTTCTTTGATATCACAGATTGTTTAAAAACCTGTCTCGTTAAATTGACCCACAGTTCTCACATAAAAAAAGAGGGGGACATAGTTTGCCATTTTAAAACATATGCTCCTGCTTAACAAAGCTAGTTGAAGCAAACCTGTCAAATGCCAAAGTGTAGAGTATTAAAATTTCAACAAAATGTCAGGAGAAATGGGAAAACTGGGGAATTTAAGAAAATCTGTCATAAAGATTGCATTGCATGTTTCTTTCTGCCTAAGTTTGGGTGACATATGGAGGTTTAAAAATATAACCTAATGATGTGTCTTTATGGGAAAAAGTTTATATAACCTAATTGCCACAAAACTGTCATTGCTGGTTAATTTATTAGAGTAATAAAAGATGTTGTGTTCTTAGAACTTAACTGGAATGAGTTCTGTCCAACAACACTGACAGTCCCTGAACCGTAAATTTTCTATTTTTGCCACTTATTTGAAACCTAAGAAGATGCACATGGTTAAGTGTAGATATAATATGTTTAACCGTTTTACTTGGCTTACTGGTTTAGAAGCAAGAACATAGGCGAGTTTGAGATGGTGCTGAAAGCCTTACGTTGTGGGATGAGACTAGATGCAAAGATTTGGGAGAAAGGACATGGAGACTAGTAACAAAGGCCAGAGGACTTATAAGAAGTGTTAGCTCTCAGATTTCACCTATTTTTTTAAATTTTTTAAAATTTTGAAATAACTTGAGGTTTACAGAAAGGTTGCAAATATAGTACAGAGATTCCTTCATGCTCTTCACCCAACTTCGCCTAATGTTAATATTTTACATGACCATGGGGCAGTCATCAAAACTAGGAAATTAACATTGATAAAATCTTATTAACTAGACTAGTCTTTATTCAGATATCAACAGGTTTTCCACTAATGGAATCCAGTCTTTTTCTGTTCATGAATCCAACCTAGGGTGTTGCATTTAGTTATCATGCCTAGTTAGTATCCTCTGGCATGTGAATTTCTCAGTCTTTCTGAGAAATTTTTGCTCTTTGGAAGAGCCAGTACTATTCCAAAGTGCAAGGTCATGAAATGGAAAGTATTCTTTAGAATGTCATTCAATTTCATTCTGTCTGGTATTTTCTCATCATTAGACTGGTTTGCCCAAATATTTAATTTACTTATTTAAGAAAGTACACAAAATTCAGCAGAGATGACTTGAGTGCAAGGGAGTAGCAGGGCTACACTGAGATATTTACATTTGGCCACGTAAAGGTCAACATGATTAAACTGGCCTAATTATCTATTAGTTTACATATGGGTTGTAAGTTTGTCATATGCAAATTGATTTCACACTTTCTTGAAAGAAAACTAACACCAAGTAATATATGTTGCCTAATTATACATTGCCTACTGTTATTGTCAAACAGCCCTATGAAATAGGTATTACTGTTTTTGTTAATACTATCATTATTATTATCTTTATTTTATAATTTAGGAAATTTAAACTCATGAAAAATTTAGGTAAGTTCCCAGTTGCACAGCTCATAATTTCTGACTCCAAAAGCCATCCTGTTTACTCATTAAGAAATAAAACTTCAGGTTTGGGGTAATTTGTTCCTCCTCTGAGAGAAACCCATGTAAAATATTACCTTTGAGATGTATCCTAGAGGTTTTTGAGTTATTAAAGATACTGATATTATATTGGTGAAAACTTTTTAGAAAAAAGATTTCCTCAGCACTGCTAAACACATACTCCCAAACAATTCCTTAATCCCTCATTTTCTTCTCTTTTTCTCATTTCTCTTTCTCTCTGTTTCTGTCTCTCTTTACACACACACACACACACACACACACACTCCACAAACATACACAAGAGCCCACAGGCCACATACACATTTTATATGTTTTTATATATCTATCAATCTATCTGCAGGTTTAATGAATATGAGATATATTAAGGATCATACTTTTAAAACAAACCTCCTTAATTGTTGAAATTGCTTATGCTTCAGTACCAAGATGATATTAGTCAAAGTCCAGTGTTTTTCACTGTTAACATGAGTCAGTAGAAGAAATAATTTGGGGAATATGTATTAGAAGCTTAATTATCTAGTTTCCACGGGGTAAACAAGCTAAGATCAAATCAGGTACACCTACTAAACTGAACCATCTGGATGATTACAAACTGTTAAAACTATAGCTTCTAATGGTTTAAGCCTCAACTTGGATGCATCAAATTCTAGAATTGTTCCCACTCTCTGTTGCTATAAGAAAGTTCACTGAATTGAAAACTACACATTGTCTAGTTTAACAATCCAATTTTATAGGTAAGTAATCAATATTTTCAAGGTCACTGATCTGGTTAATGACAGAATCAGGGCTAGAACATATGGGTTATAAGTCTCTTTTTACTTGATAGTCTGTGATTCTGGAAAATAAATGAGTTAGGTATTGGTTAAATAAAGCTTTCTAATTATATTTATTTTTAACATTTCATTATAAAAAAGAATTATTCAAGGCTTATGGCACATTATATGGATATTGTATGTGATTTTATTCCATTTTTACCAAAAATAAAGCCTAACTATTGTACTCTGAAATAGAGTAATTAAGCAACATGTTGCTGTTGAAGACAAATTAGAATATGAGGAAGGCTAAAGATTTGGTGATGTAGTAAACATTATACTACTTATTGGTAGTAAAAAGCTAAAAAAAGACACAAAGCCCTAAAGCATCTAATTTTATGGAAGATGTTGTATGGTATAAGAATTATTAAGTGCATTAAGAATTATTATTTCTTATATCATTATTCTTAAATGATTAATTCTTAAATTATTCTTTAATTATAAAAGGCATTAAGAATTATTAGATTATTAATGCTAATACATATTATCCATCTTCTAGGTTAAAATTAGTCAAGAATGTGTGTATCTTTATAAGACAACACTTGTTCCAGCAATATGTGATGTGCATAATAAAAAGCTAGCATCAAAAGCAATTTATACCTCTCAGTTTGAAAAATTTCGATAGGCTATAAGTAATAAATTTGTGGAAGAATACATCTTTAAATGGCTATTTTTAATATACTAACAGATTAATTTTTAAAGCCTTCTTCTATTGACAGCTTTGATGAATGCTGTTTTGAGTATCTTTTCTGCTGAATCTTTCAGAAATGTTTTTACAAGTTGGAATTAAGGAGACAGCAACTCATGTATGTGACATCCATAGATACTTTTTGCACCCCATAAAGTCACTTTAGAGGAATATGTATTGAAACAGCATTTTCTACTCTCAAATCTTCCCATGGATTGTTGGAATTATAGTCAGCAAATTTACTTCAAGTGAACTAAGAGCAACTTGGAATTGAAAGATACATGTTCTTAGTTTATGATCCCAAATAATAGTTTTATTGTCGGTATTGTGACCAACCTACATTTTTTTTTACTTTGTCTTTCAAAACTTGCTGTTGGCTTTGTGAGCCAGTTTTATAAGGTTTAGTTTTGAAATTAAATCCTTAAAACTGTTAGGGTTTGTATATTACTATATCCCCAGATTTAATTAAGTTTGGTTAATTTTCAAAACTCATGCCATTTAAAAAATTTCTAGACGTGCTAGTCTATTATAGTTTAACTATTTATTTAAGCTAAGTTTTTAAATATAACACTGCATTTGATTTTAGAGTTTCTGCCTTTAAGTATTAAGTTTTAGCTATATAGTTCTTCCCTAAAGAAAACAGTTTGACATGAAAGATGGGGTCTCTCAGATCTATTACATGGGATTTATTACCCATTTCAGCATAAAAACAGAAAAGTATGAGCAGTTACTAGGTAGTAGATGGATTCTGTGTGGCATATATACCTGACACTCTTTACATTTGCACCAGTGATTTTAATGGACATGCTCTTTGATTCTGTAAAACCCAGAGGGCTAGGTTTGACAAAAAGCTAAAATATCACACATAAACCTTCAAGAAGCTTCAGGTTACTGTGATAACCTCAAAGGATATATTCTCAGCAGAGAAGACTAGAGGATACCAGGCTGCAGAATGCTTCAGTGAGCACAGCCTCTCGGTTCCATAGGGATGTTTCGTGATATTGGTATTTTGCTTGTCTTGGGTGAGAGCCTGCCAGGACACAGGAAGCCCCACATTATACCAACAATTCCAACATATTTAACTTACATTGTTAGGAAGATCAGTGTGCAGAAGGGTGAAGTCAGTCATTCACAAGGCCTTCAGACCTAGGGAGCACAGCACACCTGCCACAGGATTAGAAAATAGACATTATTAGAAAATAATTACATTTATTGTAATTACAAAATATTGCATTTCTATTTGATCATGATATATAAATATAAAAACTAAAATATAAATTTTCTTTATCATTCCTCCCCCCCGTTCCCCAGAGGTAGCCAGTGTTAATAGATTATGTGCCCTTTAGAACTATATTCTATGCACACTCTTCTGTACCTCCTCCTCCATCCCAAGTACACTATACATTTTTACGCGGTCAAGTCAGCTAGTCTTCTTGCCTTCTGACTTCTAGGTTTTGTGTTTCTCTTATGATGTTTTGCTACTAAACAATAATAATTTTTTTTTTTTTTTGGCTGGGCACAGTGGCTCATGCCTGCAATACCAGCACTTTGGGAGGTTTGAGCTCAGGGATTGGAGACCAGCCTGGGCAACATGGTGAAACCCCACCTCCACCAAAAATACAAAAATTAGCTGGGCATGGTAGCACGCCTGTAGTCCCACATAAGGGAGCACTGGGGCGAGGATGGGTAGAATCAGTTAATCACTTGAGCCTGGGAGGCAGAAGTAAAGGCACTGCATTCCAGCTAGGGCGACAGAGTGAGACCTTGTCTCAAAAAAATTTTAAAAAGTATGAAATTTTATATTTTTCAAATATATTGGTATAACTCAATATTTCCATAACAAGTTGATCTCCTTAAGTTATTTGACAGCATTCTAAATATCACTCAGCTTCCTGGAATGTATGAGGAATAAGGTCTGTATGCTCCTAAAGGAATATGGGGAGTTCGCAGTCTACATTTATAGCATATCAGGGCACCAAGCTAATTTCATTTTTTAGCTTCTGGACTGTCTTTACTGTGGAGATAATTGAATGACATCGAAAATTATTGAAGTGGTTCTTGTGCCATTAAATCACAATAAGGGTCATTTAGGCTAGGAGATTTTATGGGAGAAATCATGTCACTATTTAAAATGTTGGCAGATATTGCTGGTTTAAATAAATCCATGAGGGCCACTTAGGATAAATACAAACCTCAAATGGGTGAAAATGATGACTGGGTCCATTGCATCAAATTACAAATCTGTGGAAACTGTCTAGTGGTCAATTTAGCTGAATAACTTGGACATAAAGGGAGAACAGTAGAAAAGAAATAATTCGAATTGGGAATTCTCAAGTAACACACACACACACACACACACACACACACACACACACACACACACACACCAGACAATAGGTAACAGTTACTAAAAGTTAACTATGTGCCAAGCACTATCCTAAATGTTTTAGATGTTTTACTTGACTTATCTCACTTTTTTCTTATAATCTGTCTTCCACACACAGTCTCTTTAGACTTACCTGCTTTCTTACTAATTCTCCTGCGGTTTTACTGGAATACATCATTGAAAGACTAAGCTTATGTATTTACTCTGGTACTCATTCAAGTATAAGCACCACTACAGCAGGGATCATGTTTGTGTCACCCAATATTTTATACCTAGTAGTTAACGCAGGGCATGGCACAGGCTATATGATCAACTAATATTTGTTGACTTCATAAAATAATTTTGTTTTCAGATTTTATGAATATAGTGATTCTTAAACCACAAAATGCTAACAAGCTAAGGGCAATTTCTCTAGCTCCCATTTCTCTACCCAGAGTCTTTTGTCTCCACCCACAAAGAAAAAAATCTTGAAGTACTAAGGATACTATGAAATGACAGTTTCAAGCATCGGTTACCAAGACTGTTTCTGTTTGTTCCAAAAGAATTTTTCAAATGAGAGAGCTTCTACATATTACCACAGATGAGAAAGGAACAAGGAGAGAGAAATTTGCTGCAAAAAGTTTCACGGTGAAATGTTTATGAGAGATTTTGCAGTAAACACTTCAAAAATGATTGATGTGCTAGAATTCAGTGGGGAATATGTGCAGAGTATGTAGAGATGCAGATACACTTGGCAGATATTTGCATCTGGAGTGGAAGGAATATTCATCCCAGCTCTTGTGATGGAGCCTCTTAGTTTAAAAGAGAGCAGAGGAAATCAGAGACCCGGCACTTTCTGGAAGAGGTCAGGGATGCTCAATGCGGGAGATTCCAGCTGCAGCTGGGGATTGCTTCTTCTGTAGTCGACTTCATGGGTGCCTGGGCTGTGGTCTTGGAAAAGCATATTTAAAGGGGAATAGGCAAACTTCTATTTTGAGAGGATGGCAGAGGATGAAAGAAAAGCAGTCACAGCATATGTATGTAACTATATAATCCCATCTTCTCATTCTTACATCATTTCTACCATACATCCAGAGGCAATTCTTCCCCCAACTCTAAGAATGGGGATGTAGGCAGGATAGAAAGGGAGCATATACCTATATAAGGAAAGCATTTCATCTGTTGGGTTCACCTAGTACAAGCCCTGCCTTAGAGTAAGTATTGGATAAATACTCACATTTGTTGTTAAATTAAGAAAACTCTCTTATGTTGTCTCTGGGCTTTGACACAATTATCCTCAGTAATACTAACTGTCCCAAGAGCCAAATTTGCATTTCTGGTGAAGTTTCACCAAAAGCTGAGACCATCTCTTATCCTTATTAAAACCAAGAACTTATACTCCTGGCACATAGCTGGAGCTATTAGTAAGCAGGTGTCGGATGAATGAATGGCTGAATGGCTGGATAAAGGAATGAAGTTGAACACTGTTACCGTGAAAGAAGCCTGAGGCAATCTCCACTTTTCTGTCTTAACCTAATCAATACAAAGACAAACTGATAAGCATGTCTCACCTCACTCCACCCCCTCCTCAATTACACACCACCATATAACAGATGAAAAATCCAGGCACTCATCTACATTCTAACAAGTTAAAGAGATAAGATATATACAAGACGTTTATCTCTGTGAATAAATTCCTTATTCCATATTTATAAAGGTAGTTTTGCAGTGGCCTTTGCAATTAAAGTGTCTCATCTTTTGAATTATTAATTGACCACATATCTTTTTAAAGGAGTAATTATTGAATTTGGAGAAGATGACCTTTATCAGAAATTGAGAACCACCATAAATCATCTTCCCATAAAATGCATATATGTGTGGGTATATACACAATGGACCTTAGAAATCGTCTATATGGCCCAGTTGTAGTGGCTCATGCCTGTAATCCCAGCACTTTGGGAGGCCAAGGCGGGAGAATCACTTGAACTCAGGAGGTGGAGGTTGCAATGAGCCGAGATCGCACCACTGCACTCCAGCTTGCGCGTATATATGTGTATATACACACACATATATACATTTTATGCATATATCTATCTATACATACATACTTTAAGCAATTTTTGCTTGTAACCTTGTCAACTACATGTTCAGCGTCATTCAGCAAGTATTGCTAATTTCTTAGTGTTAAGTTTAGATGACATGATATTGCCTGGGATTTGGTTCAAAATAATCTATGGTGGGGGAAGAGGGTTGGATGTAGATTAGCACTATCTAATAAATTGTTCCGCAGTGATGGAAATGTTCAACTGTTTTGTAGAGCTTCACTATCCAAAATGGTAGTCACTCACCACATGTGGCTATTGAGCACTTGAGATATGGCTAGTGCAGTCAAGGAACTGAATTTTTGATAGTATTTAATTTTAATCAATTAATAAGTGGTGAAGGGCTACTGTACTAACAGCACAGAAACAGATAAATGTAATTGGCATGAAGTGATAATACTTCAAGCTGGGTAATGAGAACATGACTTATGTAAGTTATTTTCTTGATTATATGTTTGGAATCATCCATAATAAAAATTTAGAAAAATTGAAAAAAAAAGAAAGACAAATGCCACATGATTGCATTAATATGTAGAATCATAAAAAGTTGAACTCATAAAAACAGAGAGTAGAATGGTGATTCCCAGGCCTGGAGAGCGAAGGAAATGAAGACATGTTGATCAAAGGGTACAAACATTCAGGTATGAGATGGAAAAGTTTTGGGGACCTAATGTACAGCATGGTTAGTGATGGATGTGTTAATTAATTTGATTATGATAATTATTAACCATTGTATTCCTATATCAACTCATTATGTTGTACAGCTTGAATATATGCAATCTTTACTTGTCAATTACGTATTTTAAAATTAAGAAAAAAGGGAAAACAAAACATTGAGTAGACAAAGGTAGAGGAGAAAAATTAAGCCTTTAAAGCCCTATTTATTGATGTCCATCCAAGTCTCGCTTTGCAGGATGAGCAGAGGCTCTTTGGATTTTTGGCAGCCTCTCCTCAGAGGAGGTTGCCAAGAGATCGGCTCAGGGGACCTCATGACAGCTCTGAGTAGCCACGGAGTTGCTCGAGAGGAAAATGGAAGCTTGATCTGTCAAAGTGAAGAATAGGCCTATAGGACTAGATTGCAGGGTGAGCATGAATAGTGCTTTAGAATTGAGCCATATGCTGCCATTCCAATAATGTGTAAGGGACAGACACATAACAAGTCACATAAGCCAGAATATTCTAAACCAGTGACTAGATTTTAGGTCCTTAGGAGCCAAGTCATGGGACAATGAGTATGGTTGGGAAGGAGGAAGGCCCAGGGTAAAATATAAAGCAAGACACAGGGAATCAGGGAGATATCCTAATGTTATTTACCCAGTGAGCTAAGAAAAGGGCTTGGAATAAGCAGTCTTTTTTTTTAACAGAAGTGTTATTGATATGGTATCATTCGCTTATGTGATTAAAGGCTGATCCAGATAAAGGACTGTAGAAGTTCAAGCTATGATCCGTGAAAGCATCTGAGGATAAATGGATTTGTTCTGCACTAGGAAACAGGGAGAAGCTTCAATTCTGTACCCCCTCAGTCTGATGAGTATCTCAGTAACTTTGGGAAAGTTTCTGATGAAATACTTTCTTAGTCCATAACGACATGCTCTCCAGACTTTCCAGTTGGCTGTAGAGGATAGCGCACTTCCTGGGACTGGAGGGAACTGAACCACATAGCCCTGACATTTGCTTTCCTCTGCCACTTAGAGGTTCTTCTCCCTGTTCTTCCCCCTTCTTTCCTTCTTTGCCTTCAATGTATTGGACCAAGTATGGACAAAAACCAGATATTTTCTTCATTTGCACAGCAAGGCTGAGATTAGATTGACTGTTTCAAGAGCACTTCACTAAAGGTGTAATTACATCAAAATGGAAATGAACAGGATGCTGAACATGCAACCAGATAATGTAACTGGTTCATAATATTAATGGGTTATATGTGTTGAAATTATACTGCATATCCCATACTGTACTGTGTATATAAATATCATTTTATCTGATCTGCACACCAGATGTATGAAATATCTATCATTATTTAGTAGATGAGGAAACAGCTCAGAAGTGTTTGTCTTTTGTTATAAACTGCAAAGCTAAAAGATAGCAGAGACTGGATTTGAATCTGAGTTTGCCCACTCCAAAGCTCATGCTCGTAACCTCTTCAGTATACTTTATTATTTCATCTTCAGCATGGAGATCCATGGACAGTGTCACCCTACTTAGCTCCTGACCTGCCTCCAAGTGGCAGAGACATTTTTCCTTTTGTAAAGTGTACCCTGAATATCCACTCACCCCCTTCAGAATAAAGCCCATCTCCTCTTCTAGGATGTTGTCTCAATGCATCAACCATGTCAGAGTACATCTCTACATGTAATAAATGAATTATCTATACAAATCACCTGCAGACTCTCTTTTCACCCTTAATTCCCCACCCTGAGTCTTTCTCTTGCCTTATGTGCCAAGGAGGGCACAAGTTGACTTCATATACTTTTCATCATTCTAAATAAATTCTTATAATGATACTGCTGTCATTATAAGGATGTGATGGTAGTGCTGCTGAGAGTGATGGATTCCATTCACTGAATATCTGATATATCTAAGGAGTTATACTCAGTGTGTTACACATTAACAGTAGTCCCAACAGTAGATATTATGATCTTCATTTTACAGATGTAGAAACTCAGGCTCAAAAAGTTGAAGTGACTTACCCATGGTCACTCAAGCTGGTACATGCAAATGCTAGAACTTGAACCCAGTACTGTGTGATTCCAAAGCTCATGTTTTCTCTACTGAAAAAGATTAAAAGAGAAATAAGTATATGTACAGGGAAGATTGAGAGGTCTCTTAATTCTGTCATTTGTGGACAAGCCTCTGTGTCTCTGCATGTTTTTTGTTCTGAAGCTCCATGATAGGGTCTATGAAGTCACATAAAGATCTGTTTGTTTTAAATCCCATGACATTTTTATACCTTTCCTTTAAACCCCTCCTACTCACCCCACATTCAGTAAAGCCCTTTTTTTTTTACCCTTGTAAAATCTTGAGAAAAACTGACCTCAAGATTGTGGTGTACCAATACACAACCATTTTATTTCCACCTCACTATACAGTCTTTCATTCTGGCTCCATGTAAGTGTGTGCTCACCCTTGTCTTTGCAGCATTTATGGTTTTCAAATTTTCTGCATTACTTAAGACTTGATTGAACTCAGCTCTGGAAACTCTCAGCTCTTCAATTTTAAAACGTCAGATTTTTTTTTTTCACAAGAGCATTGCATGTTCTAAACAGAAAAGTTAGCAACTTAGCAATGCTCCTGAAACTCTGCCCAGGAAGCTCATTCCCCTCAACTGTCAGAATGCAGCTCAACTCTCAATGCCTCAAGGCAGTAGTTGTTACCTGCAAATGCAATTGGGTGCAAAGTTACTACAATTGGGTTTTAAATAGAGATTTGAGCATTTCATTAAGAAAGAGAAAGAAAATTGTAAAGTCCATAATTTTTGTAGGCTACAGTGAAAGTGATCTGGCTTTTCATAAAATAATAAAGTTGCTTTCCAGGGCCTAGGTGACAATTCACACCCTCAGTAGTAAATTAAATTCCTAAAGAGGTAAAATTTTATAGAAGGAAATTGTAGTATTATGGAGTTGTGAGATAAGGCATACCTGATTCCAAAAACAATAGGTTCTTTTTCAAAATCTATTTGTCTATTAATGTGTAGTCTTTATAATTCTTATATCAATACCTGAGATATTTGCTTAAAATGTAGACTTCTGGGCCATATTTCAAGCTTAATGAATTAGATTCTATAGAATTAGGGGCCCAAGCAATAAAAAAGAAAAATTAGGGACACATAGATAAGTTTTTTATAAGGGAATTGAATGAGGTAAACTCTGTAAAGTTGGCAGGACCCTCAGTTTATTGCTGTAGTTAATTGTGTTCTTTGCCCCTCTTTTTGCATCTTGTCCCTTTTCTTCTTCAGGATTTTCCTCCATATTTTACCACATTTTCTCTCCAGAAAGAGTGCAGTCAGCCCTTTCACACTGTGGCACTGGTAACTGACAGTGGCTTCAAATGTTCCCCTTTCTGGAAGCTGCATTTACAATTTAACATGTGTTAAACCTGAGCTTCATTTCAACCAAGGAATGAAGCTCTAGTAGTGCAAGTTGATTTGACTCAGAAAGGGGGTAATTGGAAGTGGCAGGCAGTGAAAACTTATTTTAATGGATGCTAGAATTAATGTATGAATGTCTGCTTCTATAGCCAGAGTGTGGACTCCATCATCCAGAATATTTCAGCACCTGAAGAGGCGAATCAACATAATAGAAATGGAATGAAATTTGAGAATGTATTATTTGAAATATCTTAATACAGATCATCTGTAGGTGTCTTGTTCTGTGATTGCTGTGAGATTTCTTTTTTTACATTGTGCTTAAATATTTAAAATGTTTATAAATCTAAGCATACTTCTCAGGAAAAGGCATAAATTCTTTAAACTCAGGAAATTCACACACATACACTCACACACATCCTGTAGTAGTAATTCTTGGAATATTAAGGAGGTGTGTTTGCATCTCATTGTAAGCTCCACATCATGAAAATGAGTATCAATGTCCACAATTTGTTGTTGCTTTTGCTTTTGTTGGCATTTAACAAATATGTCTTACATTGCTTAGATAACTACAATGAGTTTATGTTTTAAACAGTTCTGTCTTTCACTGAGCACCAGCTCCTGAAGACCTCATCTTTTTAAGGGGGCCAGATTCACTGAAAGACTAAAAGTGTATTTTAGATGTTTCATTTAAAATGATAACTAATGTCATTTCTAAGGTACTTTAAACCAAAAAGTAAGAGAAGGCAGTTTAGTGAAGAGTGGTGAAAATGAGGAGATCAAATTTCTAGTCTATTTGAATCATTTTAGATGGCCACTTCTCCAAATTGCTTTAAAATGAAATGGCTTGCCTAGCTCTCCTGGGCCTTGTGTGCAGGTGCTCCTTTGCAACATATGTTGCCTTCCATGAGGCACTCCAGCTTGAATTACACTGGAACTGATTCCATTTTAATAGCTCTCACTTTTGCTTCAACATTTTAAGATGCCACTTTTCAAATATACTCTTTATTGTGTTATTGAGACATTTCGTGGCATTTCACTTCTAGTAGCTGTAACTTTCAAACCAAGTAATTGTAATCTACATATATTAAATGTTATTTTTAGCATAATAGGAATAGGTTAGGGGAATGCCCTTTATCTACTCTTAGAAATTCCCATAACTGCATTTTCATTTGAGCATCATGGTAAATACATCACCAAGGCCATTATCACCTTGAACCCAGAAATGACCAGTTGATAAAAACATGTCTTTGCCCCTAGAACCACAGTAAACAAGTAAGAAACAAAAAACACATAAACTGAAGCCAAACATGTGTGACCATTAGCTCATTTTAAGGGCTAGAATAAGTGTACTGGGAATACATTTATTTACAGGTATTGTAGGAAAACAAAATTGATATAGAAACAATGGCTTAATTCATCTAGAAGTTCATATTTCAGTATACTTAAGACTGGATATTTTTCTTCTCATGATTAGGAGCAACTCTTGTTGAACATTTACTATGTACTACCCAGTTACATAATTTAGCCTTCTTAAGTCTCACTACAACCACCCATTAGCTATGATTATCCTTCCAATTTACAGATAATGAAACAGATTTTCCAAAAGGTTAAATAAATTGTGTTAAGACACAAAGCTAGTAAGCCTATTGTCTTAAATGTTTAGTTTCAGAGTTCCCAGAGTTCTCAACCCCAACTAAATAGGTAAGAAAAATGAAAACTAGAATTCCAAGAAAGAAACTCTGACTAGATTTTCAGTCTAATTAGCATTATGCATGTTGGTTAAATATTTTGTAGCAATTTTAATAATACATTTAGACAAATTATGTATTTGTATTAAATATGTATGTAATAAAAATACATACAAATATGTATTACATAAATATTTTACACAAATTAAACATATATAAAATATTTATAAGTTGATCTGCAAATGTAGACACTGTGTGTTTTTTATAGGAAATTAGATTCACGTACCAAATTACTGGTTTATAAATTTAATAAAGGGCTATTTTTAAGGGGAAAAATAAATGTTGAAATCTCTAGGATCCTATGCCACACATAAGTTGGTGAAAACAAGTAATTTAATAATATATTGAACACTTACTCTGGAATATTTTGTAAATTGCTTTCCAGTTTAAAGTAACCCCTGCCATCAAAGAAGTTGCAATCTAAAACAATTCTTAATCATTTCTGTTCAGCAGGCATTAGAAACTTTGTTTTGTTTTCTTTTTATAAAACCTTCAAGTCACTAAATAGAGAAAAAATCTTTTCAGGTAGAATGATTTTTAATTACATTTATTGCTGAGGATACTCTTTTCTCAGTAATACAGGTTTAATCTCTCAGTAACAGCATCATGTGTTATATTTCTCCATCAGTAAACATTCTCTATAAAAATGAAAAGCTTACTTCAAAGACTTATGACTAATTCCTGAAGATAAGGGATGATGATTACCTTTAGGGAGGCAGATTCAAGATACAGAGGCCCTGTTCCTTCATTAGGGTTTTACAAAATGCTGCTGGGCTACAAAAGCTGATTCCACATGAGTGTCAGCCTGCAAACACAGTGATTCTACAGACACTCAAAACTCATTAAGTGATGTTTATGCCCATATATATTTTTAAAAGATCATTTACCAAAACTTATTTAAAGCTTGCCAATTATGACTTAAATTTTTTAAATGCTTTATTTCATATACAGAGCAGAAATAGTTAAAATAGTTTTTCTTAATTTAGATAAAGCTTTGAATATTATTACATGGTTATATTAATAACCTGTCCTAGCTGCCCTAGGTTCCATTCCTACTTTTTATTCCTTCTTCTTTGTTTTTTTCTTCTTTTCCTCCCTGCTCATTTTTGATGTTTCTATATAAATTCTTTTTGTTATATATACCCAAGCTACCTTTTCAAACATTTTAAAATGCAGGGTACATATTTATTTTCTCCCTACTTCTATCACATGGCCCATTTGCCTTGCACCTGCAGTGGAATTTACCATAATTACAGCAGTAATTAAAATGCATTGCAGGAATTAGGGTATATGGCAGTTTATATTGTTTTTTATGAACATTCAGTGTATTGGTTAATGTTGGGCTGGGATTATTATGTTTTACTGCAGATAAGATATATTTAGTTATAAATTTATATTCAATTAACCTATTAGCTAATTTCCTACAAAATCCAGCAGCACATAAATATCCTTACATGAACAGCACATGAAACCAAAAGTTTTAGAGTTTCTGCAACCTCACTCCCTCAATATCTCTTGAATATCTTTTTTTATTATCTTTCCTCAACTTAGGAAAAAGGCATTTTTTTCTCGTCTTTTCACATGTGGGCTTCATTTTCCACTTTACCTCTGATGGACCTTGCTATCTATGCATTTGGTCAGGTCTTATAAAGTTCAAATTCCTCTGTATCCTAGAATTCTCTTGACACCATGGTTGATTCTAATTCAAACATTTTCATGTATAGAAAGTCAGCTCCATTGCTCGCATAAACTAAGTTTAATTAGTTATCTGTCCATCAACCCATCACATGTCTTTAAGAGAGGAGTTCCCACTTCCCCTTTTATTTTTCTATTTCTGCTTAAAAGATGGATGAGGCTGTGCCTTTGTGATCCCCAATGCATGATTTCAGATTTTAGATTTGATTATTTCAGTGATGAATGCAGAACCATTTAAATTTTTTTTACTTAATAGATTTTAGACTATGTGGCTAAATCCTGAGGGTATTATGGAATAAATAATTTTTAAAAGGATCAAGATGCACATTTTTATCCAAGGAGATGTTTCATCTTGACTATGGATTAAATAGAATAAGCAACAGAAGGCTAAGGTTAATGACAGAACCTAAAGCAATGATTACATTTTCTAATGATTAGCCAGAGATAGTAGTACTTTTTTATCCTGGTTGGTCAAGAATCATCATCCTAGTCATTATAATAATCATCATCTTCTTCATCATTATTGACATCATAGCTAACACCCATTGAGTATTTTTAAATGCTGGGCTATTTAAAAGCATTATCTCATTTAAACCGTATGATGTTATTGTGTTTCCCCTGTCTTAAGTATGAGAAAATGGAGGTTTACAGAACTGAAGTAATAGTTATTCTAATCCCACAGCTAGAAAGATAGTGCTGGTGCTGAAAACAAAGCCTGTTTGACTCCAAAAGCCTCGTTCTTACTCTTGCTATAATGTTGTTCATTCAGAAGCTATTTAATTATGGGATGAGGTGGATTGTTATTTGTGCAAAGGAAGAATCACAAAGACAAACCACCATAAGGCTCTGGGGAGCAACATCCATGAGAGAAGTAGGAAATGCAGAGACAGTATCACAGTCACATACCATTTCTGAAACAATGAGCCATTCTTCCACTCCCCTGATTACTCCTTGAAGGGAACACCAACCCGCTGTTGCTAGATCTTCTGATTTTTCAAGGGAAACTAGACACCTAAATTTTTATATGAAATTATATTTAAGCGACACTCACTGTTATAAGATTTAGTCCCCTGGCCAATTCTTTGTAACCTGTATCATGAAGATTTAAACTTGCTCTCTTTCCCCTTGGTGCTTTCAAGTCATTCATTTGGTAAATAGTCATTGAATGCTTACTGTGGGCTGTGATGTATGTTAGTGTCTGAGCCCTGGAAGACGACTAGGACTCAGCTCATGCACACAAATAGCTTCCTGAAAAATGAAGTATGTGAAAAGCAAATAATCAGTTTCTAAATATCATTTTGTCTCTCACGCTGAACTATACATGGTTAGCAATAGTAAAACATGCAAAAAATGACTTTTTGTCTAGCAGGAATATTTATTTATTTATCTATTCAGCAAATCTTTATTGGATGTCTACTACGCACCATGAGCCCTGTCCTCAGCAATAAGCTGAATATAAGCAATTAAAAAAATTATTGGGCTTAAGGAGATAATACTGTAATAGAGGAAGCAGATAACAAACTAATAAATATATAATGTGGTGTATAGTTATGTGTACCCATGAAGATCAGTAAGACCATGTAGGGAAACAGAGTAATGAGGAAAAAACTGCTAAGCAATATACAGTGATCATGAAAGGTCAATCCAATAAGGTAGGATTTGAACAGAGAACAGAAGGAAGTTAGGTATTGAGTCATGTGTTTATTGAGTAAACAGCATGCCTAGGAAGAAACTAAATTAAATGCAAAGACTCTACAGTAACCAGTTTGAAGGCTTTTGCTAATTGCCTCCAGATCTGATAGCTTTGACAGGGTGGAGTTTGTAAGAAATGATTGGATCTTAGGTATATTTAGAAGACAGTGCCAATGCAGTATGCTGATGGGTTCAATGAACAGCTTGAGAGAACTGAGGAGTTATGGATGAATAATTGAAAGGATGTTTCATTTACAAGTAGGGACCATTATGTGAGGAACTATTAATAGTCTGTCCTAGGAATCAAGATTTCCATTTTGAGCATGTTAAGTTTGAGGTGATGCTAGATGAAATATCAAGAAGGCACTTGGATTCAATAGGATAGAGCTCAAAAGAGAAGACTGGGGCCAGGCGTGGTGGCTCATGCCTGTAATCCCAGCACTTTGGGAGGCCGAGGCCAACGGATCATCTGAGATCAGGAGTTCGAGACCAGCCTGACCAACATGGAGAAACCCCGTCTCTACTAGAAATACAAAATTAGCAGGGCATGGTGGCACATGCCTGTAATCCTAGCTACTCAGGAAAGCTGAGGCAGGACAATTGCTTTAACCCAGGAGGCAGAGATTGCAGTGAGCCGAGATCGTGCCACTGCACTCCAGCCTGGGCAACACGAGCAAAACTCAGTCTCAACAAAAATAAAATTAATAAAATAAAATAAAATAAAATAAAGAAGACGAGAAGACTGAACTGGAGACAACAACGTGAAGGAGATGGTAAAGAAGGAACTCAAGGGAGTGGCGTAGACTTGAAGCACTGTGGTTTAGAGAATAAAGACTTTGCTGTGCTCTGAAAAGGCTGGAAGTTGCTTACTGATGAGTTGGACCATAAAGGAGGAAAAGCTGTAGAATAAACTCAGAGGCAGCAAAGACCTGGCATGCACAGAGGCTAGAGCTGGGAATATATAATAACTGAGAAAGAATCAAAATACTTTAGTTTCCCATCTTCTTTGTTTAGAACAGTCCTCAATACTTCTGACACTTAGGAATCTATTCCAAAAAAAGGCCTGTTATCAAGAGACAGTGAGAAAAATGTTGCAAAGTGAAAGTAGAAAGGGTTGGTACACAGTGGCTGATAAAATGGGTTTGATCAGTGGAACAATATGTGGGAGGTGGGTTTTTTTTAGATGAGGTTCTCCTCAGATATGAGCCCCAAAAGAGCATGGTTCTGGAACTGATAATACCAGTGCTGTTGGGCATATTATATATTGTTTAGTCTTCTTCTTAATTTTATGAGTGTACTGAATTTGATTCCCTTGAAATACATTGTCTGTTTGAAATGCTTCTGCAAGTCACAGAATCAGTGGGAATGTGTGGGGACAGTAAGACCAGAAAGGCAGAACTTGCATGTCTGTGACTAATATATCTTGTGTATGAGATGAGAAGGGACTTTTGCTTGGGTCTTTTGGTTTTCTTTTAATGACTATTTACCCATGTTGACTGCACTTGGATGCCCAAGGGATGTCTTTATGTAACACACATTTGCATACGGTTAGGAATTTCTAAGTGGAAAAAAAAATAAGCATCAATATATACAATAGCAAGTGTGTTGCTTTGGAATACTTGATACTCATAGCACTTCACTGTGTTGAATTTTTCTATAAATAAATGTCCTATGTTAGTGCTTTCTTCCTAAACATGCTGGGAGCTACTTATTCCCTGAATGGAGACACACTGTTCCCATGATTTTAATGCAGGAGAGCTTAGTGCATGCAGCATAGCAGAGAGGAATGCAGGCTCTGAAGTCACACTGCTCGGTACACAGCCTGACTCTGCCCCTGCTTTCATAACTGGTCCTTTAATTGCTTTATCTGTAAAAAAGGGAATTACAATACCCAGCTGGAATTGATGTGAATTTTAAATGAATGAATGAATTCTGTAGCATGCCTAGAACAGTGTCTGGAACAGAGTAAGCATTGAGTAAATACTAACTGCTTTTATTATTGTTAATATTATCTAAATAATACTGATAGGGGAAGACAGGGACATGAATGCTTCCCTTTGAGGGCAGAACAGTATAAGAAAAGGGGGAGACATACCTCAGTGGATGCTAAGTTATCCTGGGTTTTAGGGAAGATGTAAATGAGTAAGTTTCCCAGACTTACAGCCACATTTTAGAAACAGCCCCAAATAGGAGCTATCATGTCAAACACCTATTGCGATTAGGGAGTTAAGAAAAAAAGTAAGCCTAACCATGTATACAACAAAAGGGGGTGATGGGGACTAGGCATAAGTAAAAGAGCACATTCTTCCTCCTAAAGAGGGCAGGCACCATCAGCTGCAGATGATCCTGGCCATGCAGGGGCATCCTTTTCAGGGATGCAGCCCCAGTGGGTCCACACTTCCTAATTTTTCAAAGAGAAGTTGCAAGTTCAATTATATAAAATGAGGACCTGAAAATTTTGGCAAGTAATTTTTTAAAAAATAAAATACTGTGGGTGGTCCAGAGCAACACATCTGCAGATCTGATTTGGCCTGTTTACCAATTCCAAGTAAAACAAATGAAAAAGGATTTAATCGACTAGGTAATCATAGAATTTATCTCATTATAAAACATTTTTATGGACAGGTGCAGTGACACATGCCTGTAATCCCAACAGTTTGGGAGGTTGAGAGGGGAGGATTACTTGAGCCCAGGAGTTCAAGATCAGTCTGGGCAACATAAGGAGACCCTGTCTCTACAAAAATAAAAATAAAAATAAAAATAGCCACGCATAGTGGTGCACACCTGTGATTCTAGCTACTCAGGAGGTTGAGGAGGGAGGATCGCTAGAGCTTGGGAGGTCGTGGCTGCAGTGAGCTGTGATTGCCCCAATGCACTCCAGCCTGGGCTACAGAGTGAGACCCTGTCTCAAAAACAATAAAAAAAAACCCCAACATTTTTATGAGCCATATAGTTGGCTTTCCCTTGGTTCTAGTATCAGGACTTTACCCCCTCTTTATCCTCAGACTTTTAGCATTAAATTTAAAATTTATCTCCTTTCAATATCTCATAGAAAATGTATTACCTGATCTTGCCCTTGTTCCTGACAACCAGCTCTAGAATAAGGCTCTGTTGCATAGGCTGATTGGGGTGCTATGCTGTATCATCCCATCAGCACTTTCTTTTCATAGAAATTCAAACCAATAAGCTTTTTCATTTCTGGTGCAAAGATGCACTGAAGGCTATTAAAAGAGATTGAATTGTATCTTCTCCTTAGATACATATTTTAGAAATGGCCTAAAATAGACAGATGCATGCATACAGATATACATACATGTAGATTATTATTATAGGACAGTTCTTTATGGCTTAAATATATATTTAAACAATTAGTCATTATTTTTCCTGTCTTTTAACTTTGAGGTCTTTCTAAAAGTATATTTTCAAGAGAGTTTCTGCCCAGATCATGGGTCAGAAACAAAGTATTGTCTTGTAATAACAGCCTTGTAATCCACCCTGTTATATTCTGGAGATTGATTCTTGTCAGAGAGGGGGTTGGAGGCAAGAATATGTCTTAACACTCTCTTAGTGCCCAGTCTGACCAGCTGTCAGAGCTAAGAGGAGGAAGAAGTGAGAAAAAGTGTAGGAATTATTCTAACCTTAGAACTCTTAAATAATACTAACATACTGCTACATGATTTTTTGAAAAACAGGTTAGGAACATTATTTCTTGCTCTCTGGGAAATTTATAGCAAAGTCGTTGCTGACTTTTCCAAAACGTAAAGTCTGGGGTTACTTGTTCACATGGATGGCTCTTTCCACCAACCTATAATTAAGAGGACATTTTTAATGGCCACTTGGGTACTCTTCCATGTTAAATTTTCCGGTGAGTAATAAAGGTGGCCTCTGCCTGTTGACTTCAGGTTTTATTGCCACCTACATGGCAGGAGGATTTCTGAAGTATCTAGACTATTAAATTGTTAAGTTTATTTACAAGCTGCAGAAGATTTCAGTCTCTTGCTGGAAGACACTGAGTACCCAGTCTTGCCAAAAGTCCTAATTGAATGCTGGGAGAGAAGAAGGAGAGAAGATTTTTTGGATGATCCAGAGCCCATAGGAAGTCACAGAGCAGTTTTCTCTAGGTGAAATGACAGATCTACAGAGTTTGGCCACAAAGCCCCTGGCACATTTTAACAAATGGAGGCGGTAGATCTGTTCACTTTTCTCTTCCCACATAGGCCATCCCAAGTCACGTAGTTCTCCTAGAATTATTTTCAACTCTACTTCTGCAGAAGCTAGCCTCTCAAAACTGGAGTTAAATTCAGATTTATCATCACTGTGATGGGTAGACTGAGCTAAGCTTACCTACTGCTTAACAAAAGCACAGGACACCAAATGATACTTGCTTTAACTCACTATAGTCCTCCTTTTTAGCAAGTCTATCTTTGTTTTCCTGTAAGTAATCTAGACTTTTTTGCTATTTCATTTTTGAAAAGGAAATATCTTCTTGACAAGGTCATATCCCAATGCCATGCAACACTGAACTAAGTCTTACCTTGTGTTTTTCTTCTTCATAATTTGGTCTTAAGATTTTTAGCCCTGCTGAAAGTTTCATCATACTGAACTTTAGCCATCACTGAGATGATAACTTAGATCTTACCCAGAGATTCTGGTCATGAGTTGGTCTTCAGCAGGTTGAAAGGAGGAGCCTGGCAAGCAGAGACAATTTAATTTATTTTGAAATAAAAGGTCTGAAGAGATCAGTCAGGGAAACTTCCTTAACATCATTAAAATTGCCTTCACAAGTTAGATGCACAGTAAGAAATTCACCATTTCATATTAAACACTGAAGAAAGACAGATAAGAGGTCAGGCAAATACACTAAAGAGTATTGTATGAAAGATTTCAGGTCGATATTAACATGGATAAATTCTAATTATTGGCAAATATAGCAAACCTGTTATGAAAATTCCATGTGAAGTTTGGCAAATCTATTCCCAAGGGTTAAAAAAACATTCCCCCAAGCATCTCTCTCTCTCTTTCTCAATAAAGTTTGATCATTTAAACAACTTAACATGCAAATAAATTCCAATTTCTGATAGGGGACATCAGTCTCTCTCTCTCTCTCTCTCTCTCCCTCTCCTCCTCTCTCTCTCTTTCTCTGAGAAAGCATTCGTTCTTTCTAAATTAAAGGACAAGTTTAAATCCATCTCATATAAATTTCGTCTTTATAAAAGAAAAGAGGCTATTCACTCATATGTTTGAGAAATCTGCACTATATGCCTATCTTAATGCATATTCTTATCTACAGAGTCAAAAATAGAACTGTCATTTAAAATATTATTTTTAGAAAAAGAGTATTGCTCTTAAAACTCCTTGATTGAGAACAATTCAATGGTCTCACAGCAGGAGCTGCCAGTTTCCCTGCAGGAAATCTATTTCACAGCATAGATTTGGGCATACTAATCAGTTCACAGCCACATGAGAGAAACCGGGAACTTTATCAGAATTTCTAAAGCAAGTTGTTCTAATAATAAGATCTAAAGAATTCAAAGATAAGAAGCTCCAGGGTTAGAAGTTGCCAAATGTAAATGCGGTGGGGCCCATAGGCATTACTTAGTTGTCAACATGTATAATTGGATCGATTTCTGCCTTCTCTTTTTTAAAAATAAGATCTAATAAAACTGATTCTGTCATAAATACAATTTGCTATGCAGGGCCCTACATTATACCATCAAACATTTAGCTAAATGTGAAGCCTTTACCTTAAGTAAAGATTGAGTAACCAGCAGTCTGTCAATCCAGAAACTTAGAAGACAATTAACTAAAATTACACCTCACTTTCCATCTAATCTCTAACATCTCTACAAATCCTGCTTCAAAATGCCTCAGCTTCTTTCCTTGTCTAACCCCACAAACACTTCTCTAGTCTAAGTCTTTATCATGTCTTGTTTGGATGACTATCGCTTCTTAGACTGGCACTGAAAAACGAATTGCCTCCAAATGTCAGGTAGGTTGTATACATCAGTTTGTCCAGGTGTGCAGAGTATGCGACATCTCGAACAGGCAGCCTCTACTCAACTCCGGGAGATTATTTCCATCAGGTCTAATTTTCTTTTTCCAAGAGAAGCTAGAAATCTTCCAAATTGTAATCTAGTAGAATTTTTTACAGAATGAGCAAAGTGATATTTCTACTAGACTAGGATTTGAGAAACAATTGTTTGAAGATAAGGGCATCATACAGCTTTGGGCATCATAGACCCCTTGCTGAATGTGTTATTCCATCCCCTAAGCTGTAATATCTAACAAAGTGACACAGAGGTCTCTCCTCAAATCTCTGGCCTATTATTGATCATTCACTGTTAATTGAATAGACTTTTCAGCAGTTAATTTCAGAAAAAATATTGCTTCCTTGTGTGTATTTTTGTCTTTGGCTGACAGAGCTCCAATTTTTCCACCTTTCCTAATATTATTTTTTATCTATACTTAGTTTTTCAAAATATTTTAGGAGGTGGAAGAGTGTGTGTGTGTGTGTGTGTGTGTGTGTGTGTGTCAGAGAGGGAGAATTGGATTATAAATTAAATAGGATATTCTTGTAAAACAAGATCCCAATTTTGGGGGTCACATAGACCAACCTGTGCATATTGGACAATAGTGTTAAGATTTCTACCTACATCAGGTATGCCATGTACAGGGAATTGAATCTCTGATGAGATGCCTGACTGCAGATGGACTTGGGAAGTTTTATTTTTTTATTCCAGATGCATCTTGAAAATCTCCCATTAGAATGCCTATTTATCTTTGGAAGAGACATTTAATGTTGTGAAATTCTGTTGACTATTTCCTGGTGTTAGTATTTTGAAGCTAAACTTAGTCTTTGAATGTGTATATGATTCCCACTGAACTTTGGAACATGTGGTAACATTTTTTGACACTCAAAGTGACATTTTTTTGCCGTGTTTTAGAGGCACGAAAAAAATTAGGCTTTACCTAATGCAACTGAGGAAGATGCAACATATAATAAATGTGTATGTGCATATGAATTGTGTGGTTAGAAAATTTGGAGGGGAAATGGAATTAAATACAACAAACTAGAAATTCTAAAGTGCAAATTGGAAAAGGCTGGAAAAAGATGATAATTCTTAGTCTCTGCTTTTAGAGAAAAAAAATACGTTAACTCAGAATAGTTAAGCAAACGAAAAATATATGGTTGTTTTTCAATTTTTATTTAAATGTTCAACAATAATAACAACAATAATAACTAACACTGATTACACTGATTAAGTTCTGAGTATATGCCAGGTCTCATGCTAAGCATTTTCATGTGAATTATCTCATTTATCTTCACAAGAGCCCCATATGTTTGAATTAAGTTGTAGTATTTTAATGTTTTTTAAATCACATGCAGAACATTTCCTTCATGACAATTTGAAATAGTTTTAAAAATGCAAAATGATAATTTGAAGAAATTCAAAGAATAGAATTTGAAACTTTTATGGACTATAGATATCAAGAGATTCCTAAACAAGACAGTGAAAGATTAATAACTTAGAAAATATGTTATTGTCTCTCACAGATTTTTTTCCTTATCAGTGGAATATATTCTTAGAGCAATATCTGAATTTCTGAAAAGGTTGATTTTTCTTTAAACAATATTTTAGTAATCTTTATCAACAATAGAGTAGATACTAACTGATTTGTCTTTTCTTTTCTTTTCTTTTTGAGATGGAGTCTTTCTCTGTTGCCCAGGCTGGAGTGCATTGGTGCGATCTCGGATTACTGCAACCTTTGCCTTCCAGGTTCAAGCGATTCACCAGCCTTAGCCTTCCTGAGTAGCTGCGATTACAGGGGCCTGCCACCACGCCTACTTAATTTTTGTATTTATTAGTAGAGACGGGGTTTTGCCATGTTGGCCAGGCTGGTCTCAAACTCCTGACCTCAGGTGATCCACCCACCTCATCCTCCCAAAGTGCTGGGATTACAGGCGTGAGCCATCACGCCTGGCCTTGTTCTTACTTTTCTATTAAAAATAGGGTACCATTCATGCATTTTTGCGTGGATTCTTTCAGTTAACAGTTAATTGAGCACTTACCTTGTGCTAAAAGTATAATGGTGAGTGTTATTTCTGCTCTCAGGTACCCAGATTGACTGGCATTTGGATAGAAAAAAAATTTTTAGTTAAATTAGATCTCTGCTGATTTTGTTCAGATAATGTCAAATGATTGGTTCTAAATTTATAGTCCTTTGTGCACATTTACTTGAATGAGATTCAAGTATCCAAATGTGGAGAACAATCACTTGTCTATTTCATGGCTAAGAGCAATGGAAACATAGAAACCCTTAGATGATGGAGAGATAATAGGTATTCTTTGGTCATTGCTTCATCAGCAGCATTCTGCCTTGCAGCTAGCCGTGCCAGTCATACTTTTCATTTTAGATCCAGTTTTGAAAGAGGTTCCCATTCTATGACTGTCATTTTCTTTCGCAGTGGTTTATTGTATTCTGTAGAATCTAGGTTACTTTTTATAACATTGAATCTCTATGGAATTGGCCAGAACAAAATGCTCCCTGACATAAAAGTGCCAACTTAGCTGGCTTTACGGAGTTCATACTAGATAACTTGACAACTTTTCATGCGAATTCATTGAACAATTGAAGTAAATAGTATCTGCCAGGTGCAGGTGAAAGGCTCACCTAAGTATAACCCCAGGCATAAGGAGTGTCACAAGTTGTGTGATACAGTCAAATTTCAGAGAAAGAAATAGCTATTCCCAAATCGTAGTGAATAAAAGAATAAAAATAAAATGGCAACATTAGTAACTAGCAATGTCTTCATTACACTGCTGTCTAAGAGGCTCCTGTGCATCTTACTTGAATGAGGCAGTCAGCTAGAGAAGCTCCAAAGCACAGTGAATTTAAACATGCTTTGGAGATAAACAGGCAAAGGAAAGAATCATGGCTCTGCTGCTTACTAGTTGATTGGAGCAGATATCTTAACCTCTCCATGTTTCTAATTCTTCATCTGCAAAACTACATAACAATTATGTTTTTCTAATAGGGTTACTTAATGTGCATTAAAAAATTGAATGTTCCCAACACAAAAAATTGATAAGTGTTTGAGAAGTCAGATATGATAATTTCCCTAATCTAATCACTATACATTATCTGTATTAAAACATCACTATGTACCCCATACATATGTGAAATTATGTGTCAATATAAAAACATAACAATACTACATTGAAATGTATATTACAAAATAAGGCAAAGAGGCACGGTGTAATTAACTAACAAATTGAAATACTTTATAGACATGACAAATTTTGCTTTAAAGTTATTCAAGATAGAGGGAACTTAATACGGACTAAAGATATAAGTTCTTCCTCTAAGCCATTTCATCTGGGCCTCATGCTTGAAAGACATTTATTGACATTGACACCTTGTTTTCTTTTCTGCACAAGTGGAATGTATGTTAGAGACCCATGAAACTAGGATTATAAACCTAGGCTAAAGAATCATAAGTCTATGATGAAGAGCATTGGTCTGCACTTCCTACTAACTCTGCCCAAAAAACGGTTTCTCTTTAGCTGTAGCTTGAGCCTTTCTCAGTACCACTAATTTGTCTTAACATGGCCAAACCATTCTTCATTTGAAAAAGCATACATTTGTGATCATGATTAAGGACCACAGGAAAATTCATGGGAGTGAGATTTGGTGGGAGAAATATTTTATAATAAAAGCCAGAAAAAAATTTCTTAATTAAAGTATTTTAAAAAGTACTTACGGAATGGCTGTTCTGGACAAGTCTCTTTATTATATAGTTGAAGAGTCTTTTAAATAATATAAAAATTATTCAATAATTTAAAATGAATTTGTAAGAAACCTGGCTTATGGCATGTAATAATTACAGTGACTAGAATGGTACTTCTTTAGGTTAAGTGGCTAATTATCAGTCAGCCAGAAGGATCTAATGTAAATATTTGAGGGAAAGAAGTATCAAAAGTTATTTTTTATTTCTCACTTTAAGGTATGCTATGGGCGTACACCTATGTATACAGAGGGAAGTACAACCAAATATGAAATGGATAGTTGGAGTAGAGACATTTTAAGATCCCTTTAAATCCAACATTTCCAACATTTTATATTTAAGTGATCATCCTACATATGAATGTTTTGGAATGTTACCATTTTGAAATTTAGCATCAAGAGTTCAGTATTCATTCGTTCTGCCTTTATCAAGAACCTCTATATGCTAGGCACAGTTCCAGGGAATGGAGATAATACTGTGAACAAAACAGAAAAAACCCAAAACTATATCGTATACTCTTCCTAGCTATCACAATGTCTAGATGAATTTAAAACAGGAGACTAGAGGAAAAATCTTTCAAAGAATAAAAGATGAAATGACTACCAAATATAATTATGGTTATAGAAATAAATATATTGTCCTATATAGATTTATATGTGTGTGTGTGTAATCATAAATAATCCTATTTTTGTGTATCTGCCATTCAGTATATATACATTAAAAATGACATAGTGTGGAATATAGAATAAATACTATAACTTGCACATGTTACTCCTGGATTACACATTTACATAATGAGTGTTTAATGTATTATATTTTGAAAATACTATGTGATTTTTATCACTTCAGCACCCTGGATAAAATGTGAAACAGGAAAATGAATCTTACGAAAACATACAACAATTTTCCCCTGTAACTTGTTAAAATTATAAACAAAACACTGAATATTTAAAATATACTTCTTTTAGAATCTTCTTTACAATTACAACTACAGTGATTCTAGCCTCTCTGGTTATTCAGGAAACACCAGCTATTTATGTTTCCAGGAAACTAACTGTTCCTAATGTTCTATCCAGCCTTATTTGTAAATATAGTTTGTGTTTCTGCAGCTAAAGAAAGAATGATTGCTTTCTAACCCTAATGTTTCTTTTTGTTTTTTTGAGGCAGGGCATTGCTCTGTGGCACAGGCTGGAGTGCAGTGGCACCATCATAGCTCACTGAAGCCTAGAACTCCTGGGCTCAAGCGATCCTCCTGCCTCAGCCTCCTTAGTAGCTGGGACTATAGGCATGGGCCACCATGCTCAGCTAATTTTTTTAAAAAAATTAATTTTTTTATTATACTTTAAGTTCTGGGATACATGTGCAGAATGTGCAGGTTTGTTACATAGGTATACACATGCCATGGTGGGTTGCTGCACCCATCAACCCGTCATCTGCATTAGGTATTTCTCCTAATGCTATCCCTCCCTCAGCCCCCCAGCCCCGAACAGGCACCAGTGTGTGATGTTCCCCTCCCTATCTCCATGTGTCCTCATTGTTCAACTCCCATTTATGAGTGAGAACATGTGGTGTTTGGTTTTCTGTTCTTGTGTTAGTTTGCTGAAAATGATGGTTTCCAGCTTCATCCATGTCCCTGCAAAGGACATGAACTCATCCTTTTTTATGACTGCATAGTATTCCATGGTGTATATGTGCCACATTTTCTTTATCCAGTCTATCGTTGATGGGCATTTGGGTTGGTTCCAAGTCTTTGCTATTGTGAACAGTGCCGCAATTAACATACGTGTGCATGTGTCTTTATAGCAGAATGATTTATAATCCTTTGGGTATATACCCAGTAATGGGATTGCTGGGTCAAATGGTATTTCTGGTTCTAGATCCTTGGGGAATCGCCACACTGTCTTCCATAATGTTTGAACTAATTTACACTCCCATCAACAGTGTAAAAGCATTCCTATTTCTCCACGTCCTCTCCAGCATCTGTTGTTTCCTGACTTATTAATGATGGCCATTCTGGTTGGCGTGAGATGGTATCTCATTGTGGTTTTGATTTACATTTCTCTAATGACCAGTGACTACGAGCTTTTTTTTTGTATGTTTGTTGGCTGCATAAATGTCTTCTTTTGAGAAGTGTCTGTTCATATCCTTCACCTACCTTTTGATGGGGTTGTTTTTTCCCTTGTAAATTTGTTTAAGTTCCTTGTAGATTCTGGATATTAGCCCTTTGTCAGATGGATAGATTGCGAAAATTTTCTCCCATTCTGTAGGTTGCCTGTTCACTCTGATGAAAGTTTCTTTTGCTGTGCAGAAGCTCTTTAGTTTAATTAGATCCCATTTGCCAATTTTGGCTTTTGTTGCCATTGCTTTTGGTGTTTTAGTCATGAAGTCTTTACCCATACCTACGGCTCAAGGAAATAAGAGAGGAACAAAAAAATGGAAAAACATTTCATGCTCATGGATAGGAAGAATCAATATCATGAAAATGACCATACTATCCAAAGTAATTTATAGATTCAATGCTATCCCCATCAAGCTACCATTGGCTTTCTTCACAGAATTAGAAAAAAACTACTTTACATTTCATATGGAACTAAAAGAAGAGCCCATATAGCCAAGACAATCCTAAACAAAAAGAACAAAGCTGGAGGCATCACGCTACCTGACTTCAAATTATGCTACATGGCTACAGCAATCAAAACAGCATGGTACTGGTACCAAAACAGATATATAGACCAATGCAACAGAACACAGGCCTCAGAAATAAAACCACACATCTACAGTCATCTGATCTTTGACAAACCTGACAAAAACAAGCAACAGGGAAAGGATTCCCTATTTAATAAATAGTGCTGGGAAAACTGGCTAGCCGTATGCAGAAAACTGAAACTGGACCCCTACCTTACACCTTATGCAAAAATTAACTCAAGATGGATTAAATACTTAAATGTAAGACCTAAAACCATAAAAACCCTAGTAGAAAACCTAGGCAATACCATTCAGGAGGTATGTATGGGCAAATAATTTTTAAATTTTTTATAAAGGCAGGGTCTGGCTGTGTTGCCCAGGATGGACTTGAATTCCTGGCTTCAAGGGTTCCTTCAGCTGCAGCTTCCCAAATCTGATGTTTGATATGCTGAAGAAACAGGAAGATGTAGCTTAAAAAATGAAAAAGTAAAAACACAAGCCATGGACCTGAATTTAAATCCCACCTCTGTTCTCTACCAGTGCTATGTCAACAGGCAAGAAAACTCAAATTCTCTTGTCTTTTTTCCTTATTTCTTTTTATTTTTTATAATCAAAAATTTCAACCATATACAGAAATAGAAAATATAGTGTACTGAACTCTCATGAACTCACAATCCAGCTTCAACAGTCCCATTTAGTCTATACCCTTATTATACCCCAACGTGATCCAGATATGTCTGGATCAAATCATAGATATCATGCAATTATATCCATAAGTATTTCTTTTGTAACACCAAAAGATAAGGATTATTTCTAAAGCATAAATAAATACCATTGTTACACTTAACAATTTAAAATAATTCCTTCCCTAAAAGTTTAAAAAATAAAAATATAATAAAATAATTTCTTAACATCATTGAAAATTCAGTGTTCCTATATATTTAGATATATCATTTTTTTAACAATTTGGTTGTTCAAATTAGGATTGAAATGAAGCCCATACAATTGTAATTGTCTCTCATTTCTTGCCTCCTTCTCTTTCTATTTCTCTTTTATAATTTTTATGTTAGAAAAGCTGAGTCTTTTTTTTTGTTTCTCACAGTCTGAAAGAATGCTGATGGTATTATTGTAGTGCAGTATCTTCTTTTCTTTTTTCTTTTTTTATTAGAGACGGGGTCTCACCGTGCTACCCAGGATGGAGTGCAGTGGTGCAATCATAGTTTGCTGCAGCCTCCAACTCTTGGGCTCAAGTGAGGGTGCAGTATCCTTTAACATGTTATCTCTGTTTTTTTTTTCTTCCATTTCCCATAGTGTTTTGTATTGTTATGTTTTGGGTTTGTTTTTAGGTTTTAAAACTTATATTCAGGTTACTGTATTTTTTGACCAAAATAATTCAAAATGAGAAAGGTATTTGCATCAGGAAATACGTAACATTTAATTGCCTCTCTTTTTGTGGTGTTAGCAGCCTCAATTCATTTATTCATCACACCTCAGAGAATGGTCATATTCTCATTCTATTGTTCTTTCTTAATATTTTAGCTGGAATATTTCTACATAAAAACAATTTCCCTTATTTCAAAGATTTTATTACCCTGAGAATGGACAAGGCTTTATGCTCCGTATTTGCCAGTTTTTAAAATAATAAATTGGTTCTGTAGTATCATCCAGTGTTGACTGTTGAAGAGAGAGAGAGAAAAAGAGAACAACTTGTAGAAATAAACATATTACAAGTATTATGATCCATGCAGATGCCATTTTTATTGATATCCATATTATCCCCTTATTTTTGCCTCTTGGGAACCTCTTTACATCAACATCTGAACCTTCTTATATACAAACCTAGTGTTCTTTGTTTTCTTCCTTGCTTTCTAATATGATAAAATATTCTAAGCTCATCCTGTACTCTTCCTATCCCAGACTGGGAATCAGTCATTTTTTTTTCTAAAGAGCCATTGTTGCTTTTAATGGAATATAATAGTTACAGATTACAACCTAGGTAACAGGAGTGTCCAGTGCTACAGGATTTGTCATTTGCAAGGTCTTTTCAGTAGCCTACTCTATGAAATACATAATCTTTTTACAATTTTTTTTTTTTAGACGGAGTCTCGCTGTGTCGCCAAGGCTGTAGTGCAGTGGCACAATCTTGCCTTGCTGCACAACCTCCGCCTCCGGGGTTCAAGTGATTCTCCTGCCTCAGCTTCCTGAGTAGCTGGGACTACAGGCACCTGCCACCATGCCCAGCTAATTTCTGTATTTTTAGTACACATGGGGTTTCACCATGTTGGCCAGCATGGTCTTGATCTCTTGACCTCGTGATCTACCTGCCTCAGCCTCCCAAAGTGCTGGGATTACAAGCATGAGCCACCGCACCCGGCCTCCATTTTTTAAAGACAAAGTATAACATGAGTTAATTACTTACTCATTGATCTTTCATCTGTAGTGCTTTTCTAGCCTAATAAAAATCCCAGTTATCAACAGTTTATAAATCAGAGAGAGGATAAAAATAATTCATTTGTAGTTTTATTGTATTAAGACATAAGTTAGAACATTTTATAGTGTTTGGCAAATGGTAAAGTTTTAAAAATAGTCTTCTTGTTATCATGTATTATCATCACCAATATTATGGTAAAAGCGTACCTATTCTACTGCCATCCTTATACCCTGAGGGAAAGAAATCTTATGCCTTCTTATGCCTTCATGAGCAATCTCTGTGTGTGTGTGTGTGTGTGTGTGTGTCAGATGCAATTTTGTGCTCTTGAAAGGTATTACATTTCAAACTTAGCTAAAAATGCTATTTAAACAATGGAAAAAATTTAGGTTTATAGAAGTTTATCAGTGTTGTTTTATGGAAGTCTTACAACTATGTCAACTCTACATAATAGTGAAGGACAAGAAAATGACATAGGTGAGGAAAAAATAGCAAATAATCATCTTTTTGAGTATTGAATACGTATTTTTTTCTAGTACATTTTACCCATGAAATATTAACAGTTTGGACTAAGTGTGCTTATATGTACTTGGTTGAGTTAGGGGTTTTTTGTTTTTTCCCCCTCTCTGCCAATGCAAAAAAAGACAGTCACACATAATGGTGCCCTAGATTTTCATCACTAAGACATCAAAATAAAAAGTTGCCACCCACAGATTTTCAAGGAGGCAAAGCTGTTTCCATGCAATTTTATATTCTGGTCAAGGCTTTTTGGATGTGAAGAAAAAGCCCACTTAAGCTCACTAAAGTAAAGGACAGTGACTGCTCACACTTTAAATTCATGACCACAAGCCACCTAGGCCTTGGACGTTGCTGGAAAATAACATTTTACCTGCCTGGCCCATTCATTCTCCCTCTGTCCTTAACAACTACTTCATACCTTCTCCCCTCTCTCCTTACTTTCTCAACACCTCTTTCTGCATTCTCACTCTCAGCTAATGAACTTGCTTCCCACCTCACTAAGAAAACTGAATCATCATATAAGAGCACTGAATACTCCCACCACTACCTCTACCCACCTACCAGAATCCACACCCACATGCTCTGCCTTGTCCTTGCTGTTCTCATGCTTCCATCTAAATATAATCCCTCCATCTTGCCCACTCAAGGGGATGGCGCCAGCCATTCACCCTCTCTTTTCCACACCATCGTTTTTTTACTTCTCTACTGACAATATTAGAAACATGCTGTTATTTCTTCTAACTTCAAAAAAATTAATTTTCCCCAGTGAACCTGCTAGCTACCATGCCACTTATTCCCCCCACTTTTTTTTTTAGCAAAATTACTTTAGTCACCTAGTCTCTATTTTAACATAAAACTATTCCAGTATGCCTTTCCCTTCCACCATGACACCCAAATTGTGTTCATCTTGGTTACCAGTGACCTCCACATTGCTAACTTAAATGGACAATCCAGGTGTTATCTTGCATGATCTGTTCTAGCAGGAGCAATTGAAACTGTTCCTTAGCCTCCACTCCTTAATACATTTTCCTTCTTTGATTTTATTGACCATACTCTTAATAGGTTTCCTTCTTACCTTACTTATAATTTTTTCTCAGTGATTTCTTTGTGGTTTCCTTTTCATCAACCTGAATTCTTAATACAAGACATCAGGGCTTAATTCTTGGTCTTCTTCTTAATCTGCATTCACTTCTTTGGAATTTCTCATAAGTTGCATGGCTTTAAATATCATCAGTATGCTGATTGCACTGAAATATTTGTCTCCAATCAGGCTTCTCTCTTAAATGCCAAGCTTTGTGTATTAAAATTTGTATGTCCAAAACTTTACTCCTGTGTCCTTTCTAAAACCTGTAATGCATGGAGCCTTCCCTATCTTCCTTGATGCCAACTCCAACCTTCCATTTGCTCAGATCAGGAACCTTGAGGTCATAATTGTCCACTCTCTCTTTCATATATCCCACTTGTAATATTTTGAAGATCCTATTAGCTGGATCTTCAAAATATTTATAAAATTCCATCATTTCTCATCATTTCTTTAGTTTCCACCTTGCTCTAAGCTACCATTATCTCTTATTTGGGTTACTACAAGAGCCTTCTAACTGGTTTCCCTTCTTCAGTTTTTACCAACCCAATGTAGAACATTCCCAACAAAGAAGCTTAGAATAATTCTCTTAACACACAGGCCAGATCATATCATTTTTTTTTTTTTTTGCTCAAAACTCTCACTCATAATAGTGAAAACTCTCACTCAAATTCCAAACAATAGCCTATAAGATTGAGTATTATGTGACTGCCAACCCTGCACTTCTCTGACCTCATTTTCTACTCATTCCCCTTGCACATTCTGTTCCAGCCATGCTGGATTTCTCATTGCCTCTCCAATATACCACACATGTTCCTGGCTTTGGTCCTTTGCACTGGCTGCCCTCTCTACCTCGGATGCCTTTCTATAGATAGGATTATAACTGAGGCCTTCATCCATTTTAAGTCTTTGTTCATTTATGTCAGCTTGCCAATGAGGCCCTCACTGATGGTTCTGCTTAAAATTGCAACTTCAGTGTCCTCCCAAGACAACAGATACTTCTTAGATTGCTCTACTTTTTCATTTGTCCAAAGCACCTATAACTCATATTATTTTCAAACATAGTACGTAATTCACCTATTTGTTACTCCTGTTATCCATAGCCCATCTCCCCCTGCTAAAATGTATTTTCAATGAGGGCAGATATTTTTAATCTGTGGTTTTTGTTTTTGTTTTGACCAATGTGCCATAAGTGCCAAGTGCAGTGCCTGGCACATAGGATGCACTAAATAAATATGTATTGAATAGGAACACAACAAGCAATCTCAGACACATCCCAGAATAGGATGCCCAAGATTTGGGAAAATCCAGTATTCCAAAAATATCCAGGGTTCTTTGAGCACTAGGACCTAAAGCAGGCTTCAGGAACAAAGAGTGCCTCTCTGTGTTTCTTTCTCTGCATCTCTGGTTTGCTCAGGAGCCCTGTGCACGTTTTCCATGGCACCTGCGATTCATTGTTCTGCCACTGTGTATTGACTTCTTCCACTTTCTCATAGGCAGCTATGTTCTCTCTGTTGCTATCCTCTCCGCCCTTTCCAAACCATGACCTTTTCATATTCTAATGATGAATGAACTGACTCACTCTCTCAATATTTTGAGTCCACATTTTTAAGAAAAGAATATGATAGATACAGCCTAAAACAGATGTCCACCCAGGGAAAGTTAGCCATGCCAAACATGAGGACATAGTCCTTGGTTCATCAGGGGCTATGGAGGGGAGCAGTGCCCAATAAGGTTGGCTCTAGATGGGCAGAGAAACCTGAATTTATCCACTATAGTCATCCTTTTTAATGTGCCGTATTTCTAGAAGAAATTACAAAGACAGAAGGCAGATTCAAATCACATAGGGCCTTGGAGATAATGTTGCTACTTAAAAAATAAATAGAATTATTCTGGTGGTTTCTTACTACAATATATCTTAAAACACATTGTCTAATTAGCGTATTCAAGTTACTATTTGCTTAAATTTGGGTAAGTTTCTACATCTGAAAAAGTCACAAAACATTAGTTTACTGTTGCCTTCACATGATCCTATTCATGTGTATGTCATTGGCTCTAAATTCTGTTTTCAATTTAAATCACCTCATCCTTGCTCCTTTTATTTCCTAAAACCACATATCCACCCCTGTGCCCTCTAATGTTGGAGAAACTTGAGGTTGAGAGCAGAAAAGGAATGAGAACTAAAGTTGGTATGTCAGCAAATTAATAAATAAAGTTGGTTCTTGAGTAAGATATTTTTTCTGGTATAAATAAAAATCTTTTGCATGAATAATAAACTGAGAAGACCTATTCTTCTGTAGGTTGGATACTAAATAAACCTTCAAACACTCCTATACATATTGCAAAATGGCAAAGCTTCCATCTAAATAAAGAACCATCAGAATAACTTTCTATCTGTGTATATATGTTTGACATGGTTTGAGTCAGATCCTTTTTTTTTATCAGTTACTAATCTGATAGATTTTTAACTACATACCTACTGAAGATGTTTATGGTTTACTTGGAACACATAGCAGATAAAAAGACCAATTTTTTCTGTTGTGTAAATGTTAATCAGTAGAGTTTATTTATTCAAAAACAGTTATGAGGCACCTACTGTCCTCCAAACAATGTCACAGATGTTATATATATGCAATGCCTATGACATTTGATATGTATATACAATGTGCATACATATATGTATGTGTATAGTTGTTATATATGTGTGTGTTATATACATATGCATGTATATATGTTATATATACACAACTGTGACAGTTGTTATGACATCATTATATATTGTTATATGTATATATTATATCATATATACCATATGTTATATAATATATTTAATGTATTTTTATATAACATATATTTTCTATATATTATATATATGTCACAGTGAACAAAATAGACACATTTTTGCCCTCTAGGAATTTACATTCTAGTTCAGGGAGACAGATAATGGAATTAATTAGTAGAGAATATTATTTCTGAATGATCAACTATAAAGAAAATCAACCAAGGAAATATTATAAAAAGCAATTATTATAGGGGACCTGGGTGACATCTTAGTATAAGACAGAGAAGTCAGGCTTTATGAGGAGTTCATTGAAACTAAAGCCTGAATGAGGATTAAGAAACATCCATGTAGAGATCTTCATGAAGGGAATACAAGGCAAGTGCTAAGAGACAAAAATGAGCTCTTTGTGTTTAAAGAGAAAAGAGAGGGCCAGTATAGTTTGGCTTAAAGAGCAGGGGAAAAAGTAGTAATATTAGGATTATACAAAAGTAATTGCAGTTTTTGCAACTAAAAGCAATTGCAAAAAGTAATTACTTTTAATTACAAAAGTAATTTTTTTGCATTAGTCTTAATAGATGACTTCAAAGAGGTGGGCAGGAACACAGTCAGATCAAGTAAAAAGGTTTGTTTTATTTATATGATAAAATGGGAAGCCTTTCAAAGATTTTGAGCAAGGTGCCATAGTTAGTGTTTTGTTTGTTTGTTTGTTGCTGTTTTTAAGCTCCCTTCCACTATAGATTGTAAGGGGATAAAAGTGGAAGTAGGCAAACCAATTAGGCATCTATATCAGTTTCCCCAGCATGAGATGATGTAGTCATGGTCTGTGATATCAGCTGAGGGAGACAAGGAGAATTCGATGAATATATTTTGGAGGTAGAGCCCATAGAAGTTGCTAGAGTTTTCTTTTGGGATGCGGTTGTGTCACATTTGCAGATACATCTGTTATTCATTCTCTTAGATATAGATTTAAATATTAGAGAGTCTCACAGTCCCAGGATACCCCATATCTAAGAATATATAAATATATGCATGTATATATAAATAGGACATTCTTGATTTATTTTAAGGAATGTTTCAAACTTTAGAGCAGAGTTTCACTCTATGCATAGAGGTGTGGTCCTTGTATCAGAATCAGCTGGTACGTTTATTAAATATGTAGGCTCCTAGGTCCAACCTCAGGCCTACACAGTTAGACCCAGGACTAGGCATATTTAGCAGGTTCTATAGGTGATTTGGTGGCCCAATAAAATCTGAGGACACTGTAGAGGAAAATCATCCACTAAGTCTTAGTGCTACTGTCTTAAATACCAATTTGCTGTGTTGGTAATATTAGTCTTTTACTTTTCTCTCTCATCGTAGAAACCATTTGTGTGTAAAACCGTAGCTCTATAAAGATAATGTAGTTTGGGGAAAACTGCCCCTTGGATCTGAAAATCAATTGAGTTTTGCTCCAGTCAAAAAAATTGCACTATTATCTGCAATTGCACAATCCTTGGGGACTAAAGAAATAACTTTTAGTACTTTAGGTTTTTTGTTTTGCTTTATTAAATCACTGTAGCTAGTTTGCTTTAATGTTGGATCCTAAGGAATATCCAAGTTTTATATAGAAAACTACTAATAAAAACAGTTGATTTAGTTTGGTAGGGTCAGCACAAAGACACCATGTACATTGGACTTATCTGCTACCAAATCAAATATACTGCCTTAATTATTTTTAGACATTTAGGCAACTTGTCTTAGACAAGCTGGGTTACAGATTCAAGTTGTAAGTACTAGAGCTACAATTCAGGAGGCCAGTAACAGCTTGCACACCTCACCTAAACACCTCATTATCTTGAAATTATGAGCTTGCTTTTGATATTTATCAGCTTGAAATCACTGACCTAATTACTTTTAGGTTAGGATAAGAGCAACGTTCCTGTATCTGTCAATAACCAATGTGGAAGGAAGGGGCTTCCCCATTCTCAACTGGTTTACCAAGTTTGGAAAGGTAGTGGTCAAGGTACTCCTTCCTTTACTACTCTGTCCAGTCCTGCAACAGGAGGTATATTACTTTATCAGATATTTTTAATGTGCTTAGTATTCACTGACAATGCAGATTAAGTGATCTGCCCAATTCCAAATCCCTGAGTGAGCACTTAGTAGCTTGTGCATAAGAAATAAACAACTATTTTCTAATTTGAACTGAAGCCAAAAGTTGTATTAGAAGCTTAATTGTTAAACTATCTAAAATTAAAAATAAATATTTTGCCTTAGCTATAAATATAAGTAATCAGAATAATAATAGCCAGTAATCATTAAGACAGTGTTCTAATTGCTTTGCAGGTATTTTCTATAGTTCTTAGAACAACATGGAAAATATAAGCAGTATCATTGGCTTTTTTACAGTAGTTAGGCTTTAGTGACTTAGTAGAAAGTAGGCAGAATTTGAATGGAAATCTACCTGATTCCAAAAATTGTGTTTGTTCTACTAAGACCGTGTGGCCATTTCCAAGATAACAGGTTTATTAGGTTTTTTATTTATTAATTTTACTTGACAAAAATTATATATATGTAAAATTATGTACAGCATGAAGTTTTGAAATATGTACACATAGTAGAATAGACAAGCTCAATCTAATTAACATATACATTACCTTACATACTTATTTTTTGCAATGAGAACACATAAAATCCATTCTCAGCAATTTTCAAGCATAAAATACTTTGTTATTAACTATAGCTACAATGTGGGACAATAGATCTTTTGAATTTATCTCTCCTATCTAACTGAAATTTTGTAACCTTTGATTACCATCTCCCCAGTCCCACTCCTGCCAGCCTGTGGTAACCGTCATTCTACTCTCTACTTAGATGAGTTCAACTTTTTAGATTCCACATACAATTGAAATTATGCAATATTTGTCTTTCTGTTCTTGCCTTATTTCACTTAACATAATGTCCTCTAGGTTCATTCATGTTGTCGCAAATGACAGGATTTTTTTTTTGTCTTTTTAACCCTGAGTAGTATTTCACTAGGTATATATACCAAATTTTCTTTATCCACTTATCCATTGATGGACACAGGTTCATTTTATATCTTGGCTATTATAAATAATATTTCAGTGAACATGGGAGTACAGGTATTTTGTTGTCATACTAATTTCAATTCCTTTGTATATATACCCAGTAGTGCAATCGCTGGGTCATATATATGGTAGTTCTATTTTTAAGTTTTTGAAGAACTTCTATACTGTTTGCCATAGGCTATATTAAATTTACATTCTTGCCAGTGGTATATAAGGGTCCCGTTTTCTCCACATCCTCACCAATACATATCTTTTGTCTTGTTGATAATAGCCATCCTAACAGGCATGAAGTGATATCTCACTGTGGTTTTAATTTGCGTTTCTCTGATGATTAGTGAGATTGAGCATATTTTTATATACCTGTTTGCCATTTATATGTCTTCTTTTAAGAAATGTCTATTTAGGTTATTTGCCCATTTTTTAATTGGATTATTTGTTTTCTTGCTATTGAGTTGTTTGAGTTCCTTATATATTTTGGACATTAACCCCTTATTAGAAGTATGGTGTGCAAATACATTCTCCTATTCTGTAGGTTATCTCTTCAATGTGTTGATTGTTTCTTTTGCTGTGCAGAAGCCTTTTAATTTGATGTATTCCCATTTGTATGTTTTTGCTTTTGTTGCCTGTGCTTTCTGGGTAATAGCTCCAAAAATTATTGCCCAGACCAATGTCATGGAGCTTTTCCCGCTTTGTTTTCTTCTAGTAGTTTTACATTTTTAGGTCTTACATTTAAGTCTTGAGTCCATTTTGAATAGATTTTTGTATCTGGCATGGAACAAGGGTTTTAATTTCATTCTTCTGCATATGCATAACTGGTTGTTCCAATGCTATTTATTGAAGAGATTGTCCTTCCCCATTATGTGTTCTTGGCATCATTGTTAAAAATCAATTGACTATAAATATGTGGATTTATTTCTGGGCTCCTTATTCTGTTCCATTTGTCTATGTGTTTGTTTTTATGCCAGTACCATGCTATTTTGATTACTATAGCTTTGTAATATATTTTGAAGTCAGGTAGTATAATGCCTCCAGCTTTGCTCTTTTTTCTTCAAAATTGCTTTGCTTATTCAAAGTCTTTTGTAATTTCCTATGAACTTTAGGATTGTTACTTCTATTTCTGGAAAAATGTCATTGGAATTTTGATAAGGAGTGCATTTAATGTGTAATATGAACATTTTAATAATTTGAATTCTTCCAACTCATGAACATGTGTGTATTCTCTAAAGGGACAGAACTAATGGGATAGATGAATATGTGAAGGGGACTTTATTAGGAGAATTGACTCACATAATCACAAGGGGAAGTCCCACAGTAGGCCGTCTGCAAGATGAGAAGCCAGGAAGCCAGTCCCCAAATTTCAAAAGTAGGGAAGCCAATAGTGCAGCCTTCGGTCTGTGACCAAAGGCCAGAGACCCCCTGGAGAGTCACTGGTGTAAGTCCAAGAGTCCAGAAGCTGAAGAACTTGGAGTCTGATGTTCGAGGGCAGGAAGCATTGAGCATGGGAGAAAGATGGAGACCAGAAGACTTAGTCATTCTAGTCCTTCCATGTTCCTCTGCCTGCTTTTATCCTGGCTGCACTGGCAGCTAATTAGATGGTGCCCACCCAGATTGAGGGTGGGTCTGCTTCTCCCAGCCTACTGACTCAAATGTTAATCTCCTTTGGCAACGCCCTCACAGACATATTCAGGAACATCCTTCAATCCAGTCAGGTTGACACTCAATATTAACCATCAAAATGTGCTATCTTTTCATTTCTTTGTATTATCTTCGATGTATTTTATGAGTGTTTTATAGCTTTCTGTGTACAGGTCTTTAGCCTCTTTGGTTTAATTTATTCTTAATTTTATTTTTTAGCTATTATAAATTGAATTGTTTTATTGATTACTTTTTTGGTTACTTTGTTGTTAGTGTACAGAAACTTTACTGATTTTTATGCTGATTTTATTTCTTGAGTCTTTATTGAATTTGTGTATTAGCTCTAAAAAATTTTTGGTGGCACCTTTTGGATTTTCTGTATATATCATATCATCTGCAAACTGGGACAATTTAACTTCTTCCTTTCTAATGTGGATGCCTTTTATATTCTCTTGCCTAATTGCTCTATGACTTCCAGTTGAATAGAAGGGACAAGAGTGGACATCCTTGTCTTATTCCTGATCTAGAGTAAAAGCTTTAAACTTTTCTCCATTAAGTAGAATGTTAGCTGTGGATTTGTCATTGACAGCCATTATTGTTCTGACCACATTCCTTCTATACCTAATTTGCTAAGAGTTATTATTATGAAAAGGTTTGTTATTTATTTACTTCTGATTATCAAATTGCCCTAAAGCTTAACAGCTTAAAACAGACATTTCTTATTTTATAACTTTTGAGGATCAAAAATAAGGATTGGCTTAGCTAGGGGATTCTGGCTCAAGGTCTCTCATGAAGTTGCCATCAAGCTGTTTTCTGGGGCTATGGTCTCGTTTGAAAGCCCAAACAGGAAAGGCTCTTCTTTCAAGCCCACTTAAGCAGTTGTGGCAAGCTTAAGTTTCCTGCAGGCTGTTGGAAAAGGGCATCAGTTCTTCTGACTGTTATCTGGAGAGCTCCCTCAGTTTCCCACCATGCGAGTCTCTCCATGGGGCAGTTTACAACATGGAAGAGCAAGAAATCAGAATGAGAGAAAAAGGCTGCAAGGAAATCCTGGACAGAACCTTCAGTCTTTTTATAACCTAATCTCAGAAGGAACACCGCACCACCTCTCTTGTATTCTGTTTTTCAGAAGTGCATCAATAAATACAGCCTACACTCCAGGGGAGGGGAATTAAGCTCCACCATTTGTGGGCTATCAAAGAATTTGTGTACATATATTTCAAATCACCACAGCATACTAATTCCATATTCAACTTGAATACAAGAACTATAAATACTTAAGGATGTTGCATTTATCTTGACAGAATTTGGGTCTTGATGATTGTTTAATAAATGGCAGTTATTTAATTTTCAATATCTTAATAATCATTTAATATCTCTCATAGGTCCCGTAGTTTGTTTTGGGTTTTTTTTTAAGTTTATTTAAGGAATTTTTTTTCCTGAAGCCAGGAATATAATTGGTAGTTTAGAAAAGAACAGATTTGCATAAATATTGGTCAAGGCTTTTTGTATTACTTGAGCTATTTTCTGCATAACTGTTTTTTGAGATGAAAATGTTTTATTCTATGCGAGAAGTCCCAAATGGTAACTTCTTGGCCGGCACTAATGAAGTCACTTTCAGAGTCTTGTTTGTGTGAATTAATTTGCATAGATATTTAAGGGGCATATGAAGAGAGTTGGCAATTCACTTATTCACATACATTGGCCTTTCAGTAGGTTGATAGTCTGATATGAATGAACAATAGCTTCAATTATATACAAATGCATTAGTTTCCTTTTTAAAATATACAAGCTCCACTTCATCAAAGGATAACCAAATGAGTTACATTAAATTTAAAACTTTTCAAATATATATTTATATTAATTTAGTCTAAAACATAACAATGACCTTTAAATCCCTAGCTATTCAAAAGTGAATTATGTTTGCTTCTACTACAGAGGAAGACAAGTTGGCTACTTTTTGGTAATTTTTAATAATTAAAATTGTAATGAATTGTTTATAATTTTAATTAAATCACAGGATTTTAGATTATAGATCCTTTGGAACTGTGATTCTCAAAGTGTGGTCCAGAGACACTTGGGGGTTTCGGAGACCCTTTTGATATGTCCTTGAGGTCAACACTTTCTTCATAACAAAAACAAGACTTGACTTGCCTTATTCACTTTCATTTTTTCACAATGTACAGTCATGTTTTCCAGGAGCTAAATGAAATAAGGTATTTCGAAAATAAATGTAGAAGCAAATGTGAGAATCCAACTATCTTCTGTTAATCATTAACATTAAGGAGATTTACAGAAATTTATAGCAATATAGTCTTCTTAATTTTCTTTTGTTTTAGAAAATATAGTTATTCTTCATAAAACGTTATTTATATTCATTAGATAATAGGATCGTTTTTGTTGGTTTCAATTAATTAATGATATTTTTAAATTTATGTTTTAATTCCTAACATGGTAATTATGAAGTGCTATAACCCACATAAAATTATTTTGTAATCCTTAATAATGTTGCAGTATAAAGGGATTCTAAGACCAAAAATTTGAGAATTGCTGTTTTAGAATAACAATTTTTTTCAGATATAGAAACTGAGCTCTATAAAGAGTATATGATTTGCTCAAAATTCTACAGCCCATGTATAGCAGGGCGGGGACAGGAACCTAGGTAGGACTTCTGATTTGTGTTATGTCATATGGCTTAACCTATAATATTCATAAAATCAGTTGGAAATTCCCTTTAGCAATGTCCAGCTGTGATTATGAATGTCATCCTGGAACTAAAGATGTGTAAATCATTCAATGAATGGGGAAAAAAATGGTTTGTTTTCTGTTTGCTACAGAACCCAGCATTCTCCATTAGATTTTGCTACTTTTTAATCTAACCCAAAACCTAGTAGATTAAAACAAAAAACATTTATTGTCACTCAGAAGGCAGGTCAGCTGGGAGGTTCTGCCAATCCAAGCCAGGCCCAGATGATTTTAGCTGGGCTCACATATGCATCTGTGGTCCTCACACAGGTGGGCTGAAGACTGTCTGGCTAGCTGCCATGATGAAGGTAACTGAATCACATGGCCCTCATCATACTGCAGGCTATCCAAGGCCTGTTTGCAGCATAAGTTTAGACCTGGCCCAAGGATACTGTTTTTGATTAAAGCAAGTAGCAAGGGCAGCTCACATTCAAGGCGTGGGGAAATACTCTACCTCTGCATGCGGGGAGCTGCAAAGTCACATTACAAAGTAGAGTGTACATAATTACAGATTTTTTTGTAATTTTACAAAATTATTCAAAAATATGGCTTTGAATAATAGTGTCAAGTGTTAAATGTAGTGACTATGGGACTGAATTTCAGTGTTAAAGCAGATTGAGTTCAATCCTTATTTCTGGCATTTGGACAAGTCACTTAACCTTTCTAACTTGCACAGTCTTCATCTGTAAAATGAGAAAAATAGTTTCTCCAGTAAAGGATTCTATTAACGATTAGATGAGGCAATGCATGTAAAGTACTTGGCTTCACACAAGAAATGCTTTAGAAATATTAGCTAGTGGCCATTTAAAAAGCTCATGCTCTAGATCAATTCATTGAACTGACTCTCCTAGACAAAATAGCAGTGCCATGTTTAACTGTGCATATATGTCTACATGAGCAGCAGGCCTGCTGTCCACCTCCGAAGTTTCTCTCTTGCTATTTACATGAGCCCTTTCTTCTAACACAAGTTCAGTCTATCTCAGTAAATATGTACTAAATAGCTGATATTTGCCTCCTTTCTGCTCCAAGCCATGGTTACAAATTTAAAGAATGAATGATCTCTGTTTAAATAAAAACTCATAGTTGAGTAAAAAAGATAATTTCCTTACCAGATAATTTCAATTAAATGTACTAAGTGCTAAGAGAGGATAGCACAGATAAGGGTTCATATCTAGAGTTTAGGGACAGTATGAAAATTTGTCTTATTAGTCAAGATACACGCTAACAGTACATATTACAGACTAATAACTCTTTTAGACCCAAAGTTTATCTTCAGGAGCATCCTGCCTGCAATCCCTTAAATAAGCAAGTCTTCAGCTGACCCCATCCCAGTGAAGATGTACAAAAGAATGGGTTAAGATGGAGAGACCCAGACTAGTTCCTACATCATTCAGCTGGGACTTTACTTTCTCTGTTACCTCTTATTAGAAAGCAGATATGTTGGTGTAACAGTTGACACTTTATTGCACATTTGTGCATATCACCTGGACCATTCAATTGGCCTTGTTAATTTAAACATCTTCCATTATCACTTTTGAGTTAACAAACTCTTCTGTGTGACTATATCCACTTTTCGCCAGGGAACATTATTCCATTTGAGCTGTAGGTATTAGCTCCTTCTGGAGAAAATTGTGGCAGAGTGGTTTCCAAAATCTATCAGGCCAGTGAAAGTTATTATCAGAGGGTCATGGCCATTCAAAGGAAGTTTTTCTTCAACTTAGGAATGAAATTACGAATTAAAAGTCAGCAACATCAAGAAGTTTCCTTCAACACAGAGGCCTTTACTCTAACTTGGTAGCTACCTTTTATAAACAGGTACTGGCAGCATTGCCTTTCTTTTGATGACTCTGATACTCTGACACAAGTGCGTGGATATTCCATATTCCAAGCCACTAATGATGCTTAGGATTGCAATCCGACTACCTTGCAATTCTGCGAATGACATCTGCTCATCACTATATTCTCAGAGGGGGATCTGAGGAGCCACAAGTAAAAGGATTAGCAAGTTGACAGTTCAGTTCAGAAAAACTTGTGTGAATGCCACTCTGAATTAAGACCTGTATTAAGAAGGAAAAGAGCTATAGAGAAGGACCGGACATGGTTCTTCACCCTCTTGAAAGATAGTCTAGAGGGGAAGACTATCCAACACATCCACAAATCCTCTAATGCAAAAGTGGCTGTGAGGACCACACTAGTAGAAATTCAACTAGAGTGCTGTGGAAATATTAGAGGAGTAAAGAGAGAACAATTCCACCTTAAGGAAACCAAGATAGTGTCTTGGGAAAGTTGGAAGTTGAAATGTGTCTTTAAAGGGTGCAGAAATTTGATGTGAAAGGAGAAAATATTTCAAGTAACTGAAATAACTTGAACCAGAACCTTGAGGTCAAAGGAGTTCTGAGGATTGCTGAAGAGTATGAGCAAAAGATGAGAGATTTGAAAAAAGAATAAGAATAATAGAAAATGAGGCTGCAGGTAGAAGCCACAATGATGGAGTTTTGAATGCCTGAAGAATTTGCATTGAAGTTGAATTGAAGTGGGAAATTCTCACTTCCCCAACTGGGAAATCCATCAAGGAGTTTTCTATGTTTTTGTTTTTTTATTCTGTTTTGGTTTTTAAAGCATAGAAATAGATCATCAACTTTTTTTCATCTTTTAAAATTTTTATTGCGCTATAAGATACAAAGTGCACAAATATGAAGTATACTGATTAAATTTTTTTCTTTTTCTAAATTATATTTTAAGTTCTGTGATACATGTGCAGAACATGCAGATTTGTTAGATAGGTATACACGTGCCATGGTGGTTTGCTGCACCCATCAACCGGTCATCAACATCAGGTATTTCTCCTAATGCTATCCCTCCCCTAGCCCCCAGCCCCAGACAGGGCCCTGTGTGTGATGTTCCCTTCCCTGTGTCCATGTGTTCTCACTGTTCAACTCCCACTTATGAGTGAGAACATGTGGTGTTTGGTTTTCTGTTCCTGTGTTAGTTTGCTCAGAATGATGGTTTCCAGCTTCATCCATGTCCCTGCAAAGGACATGAACTCATCTTTTTTATGGCTGCATAGTATTCTATGGTGTATATGTGCCACATTTTCTTTTTCCAGTCTATCCATTGATTGGCATTTGGATTGGTTCCAAGTCTTTGCTATTGGGTACAGTGCTGCAATAAACATATGCGTACATGTGTCTTTATAGTAGAATGATTAATAATTTTTGGGTATATATTCAGTAATGGGATTGCTGGATCAAATGGTATGTCTGGTTGTAGATCCTTGAGAAATAGCCACACTGTCTCCCACAATGGTTAATCTAATTTACACTCCAACCATCAGTGTAAAAGCATCCCTATTTTTCCATAGCCCCACCAGCATCTGTTGTTTCCCATCAACTTTTTTTTTTAAAAAAACAAATAGTACCAGCATATGTAGCATAAATTGGAGGAAGGCGGAAACCCTAAAAGGTTGCTGACAAGTCTGTTGAAGAATATGAATAAAAGATGCAGAAATCCAATGCCAGAGTGCAGTATTCTTAGCCTAATGAGGCAAAATATTTACACAAAACTAGCGTGACTACAAATTTGCAGAAAAATTTTGGACCTAGCCCCATCTCTGTATTTTCTGCTATTGGTGATTGTAGGTTATAGACTATTTAAGGAAACCAGGCCCCTGAATAGAGACAGCATCAGCAATGTTTCCTCCTATTCCTTGTAAAGGAAATAGAACTAGGAAAAAATATTTTAATGCTGGAGCTTATGAAAACCTTTGTTCAGAAAAAATTTTGTTCTTCTTTGGATACGGCTAGATACAAGATTTTCCTTGCCTGACACTTACCACATGGCAAATGACTTATGCTCATTAAAAATCTCCCAATCTCCTGCTATGCTAAGGGTGGTCCATGGACAAAAAGCATCAGCATCACCTGGGAGTTTATCAGAACTTCACTATCTGGGGTTTCACCTATTAAATCAGAATCTGCATTTTCACAAGATTTTCAAGTGATTTCTGTGCACATTAGCTTAAGAAGCATTGGCCTACTCTGTATGCCAAAGGTTTTCTGACTTGTCAACATTACTTTAGGACTTAGAGCCCATGCATATGGACAAATCAAGGTTAGATGAAGGGGAAGAATCCTGATAATGATAACACTTCAGTTCTCTGTAGAGACGGACCTTATAAAGAGCTTAAGGCAGTGCCTGGTACATAGGGCTCTATAGTTGATAGCTGCTATATATTATTGTTGTTGTTGTGGCTATTTTGTTTATTATTATTAACTGCTTTCTTTTACCTGTGTCAGTAGATTAACTGCTTAGTCTCTCTAAACATACGTAAGAAAATTTAAGAAACACATCGTGGAGCCAAATTTGTAGAAACAGCCACCAGATCACCTTGCTCCCATACAAAGACAACAAATACACAGTTTTGCATTGGAATTTTAATAGATATATGGTCTTTAAAACCCACAATCTGACATTTTACTTGATTGTTAACGATTTCCTATTCTCCTACATCGTAAGATTTGAATTCAAAAAACTGAACATGCACAAAAAAAAATAGGTCATCTCTGATGAAGGATGAATGCTGGACCATGACTTACTTGATGGTGTCCTTACTAAGATGCCACTAGATAATCAAGCCTGACCTACCCTAGGTCGATTATTTTGAGCTACTTGAGGTCTAGAAATGATTTGACAGCAAAAAAAAATGTGTGTCTAGCAGTTCATCTAAAGAGCAGAGTGAAGAATAAGATGCAATTAAGGAGTCAGAGCAATCACTCAGAGTGTCTTTGGAACACTTTCGATATTGAGTTGAAAGAGTTATGACTGAGAAGTGTGTATCTGTCTCTGCCTCTCGAAAGATCCCAGTGACTCTAATTGGCATTGACTGCGCTCAGTCCTGTACCTGTGCAGAGCATACAGGCCTCTGCATGGAGTGGATTTCATTCTAACGGTGGACTGACAGACTTCTAATTATGGTCACTCAAGCTAGTCATGAGAAGAATGCTTGCCTTCTGGCTGAACATTCAATCATGCTGCTTCCCTGAAATATTTGTCTCTTTTGCTCCATTAAAAGATAATTCTATCTCTATGTTATTGCAACTTTTTTCTCTCCTGGAAACATTTTTGGAGGGAAAAATGGTTAACCCACTAAAAATCAGAATATGGTTCTGAGGAACTGTGGGTCTTCTCCAGTGCTTACCTGGCTTTTGAGGGGACATAAATAAATAGCACTGTGTATGGCTTCCCTAAAATGTGTGAATAATTGCAATCCAGTATTTTATGGAATGATTATACCAGGGAGGGTATTTTTATATGCTAAAAAATGTATATGGTTAAATAAATTTGGAATATTCCAGGAGTAAGTAAAATTAAGCAGATTATTTATTGCAGGTTTTCCTAAACTACTGTTTTAAATGTTTTATGACTCTATAATAGAGAGCCAAAATGTGTAGTTACTCCCAAATATATTGATTGCATAACCCTTTTCCATGAAACACATTACAGATTAGTGTTTCTCAGAACAGAAATCAAGTTTTACTAATAGTTATTTACAGACTAATAATAGTAACTATACAACATTTTAAATACAAATGGAGGGTATGTGTTAAATTATTTTATGATGAGGTATTTTATTCAAAAAGTGCTGTGATGTACACATAAAATGCTGTGATGTACACATTAAATTTATGCACGTTTTGAGATGGTTCTTAAAAGACTGAAACCACCATGACTAGTGTGAACTATCGCAATAACATTGACCCATAGTTCTCATTGATTGCCAATTGGTTATGATGACAAAATTAACAGATTAAAGAAACTGCTGTGTGACAATTGTTATATTGGATACAATCCTAGAATATTTACCAATCCAAATGAGAAACAAAGTTTAAAAAAGTAATGAGAGAACAATAAGTCACCTTAATTTCCCACTAGAAAAAATAATAATAAAGTATGTATATATATATATATATATATATATATATATAAAAGAAAAAATAAATAGTGGCATTAATTCACCTCTTCTAAATGTTCTCATTGGTTCCTGCTGTTTAATATCTTGGCACAGGTTCAGATTTTTTGCACAGTAAAACAATTCTAAAATGAAATATTGACTTAGTAGATAACAAAATATATAGATTGACAGTAAAGAGAGAAAATAACTTTTTAAAATGCCATGTTATATAATCAGATAATGTCACAGTTGTGAGATCATATTTAGTTATTGTGTAAATGTTTTAAAATGGTATTTCTATTTCTTAGATCACATATAATACATGTTTTTCTCAATGTTTCAATGAGAACGTATCTACCATTCGTATCTTATAGATATATATTTTATAGATTTTTATATTTGTTTTTCCTGATCAGAGGCTTGTAACATTTCATATTGCTTTAATTTCTTCAGGTGAATGCCAGTGAATTTGTATTTTAGTTTATTTATAGGCCCTCTGAATTATTATGTGTCTTATGTTTTTGATGATATAACAATACAAAATTATTTAATGACTCAGTTTCTGGAATCCCATGAATAAAATATAAATGATGAGTTTAATTTGCAGTACATTAACGAAGTGCTTCAGTGCATTTCCTTCTGATATCTTTTTAAAGAAATCTAATTTTTTTTTTACTCATCATTATTATGAAAGCTGTAAAAGTCAGGTCATATATATTTGCATATGTTTTCTTTTAGTTTTTAATCACTTTGAGAGACTGCTAAATATTCCTCCAGAGAATATCCAAAGAAAAGAAGAAAACAAGGTCTGCTTTAAACTCATCCTACATAGTATATTGAGTTGGCTTTTAACTTGACCACCCTGGAACTGTCATGGAGCTCGTTGCTCTTTCGTCTTCAGAAACCAATGATGCAATAGCAACATTTGCTTTCCATTTGCAATCTTCTATTCTTGGTTAGCCTAAAATAAAGTCAAGAGGATTGGATTTTCTAAGACAGGCAGTAGCCAGAAGTAAATACAGTGTGGTGTTTATTGTGTCAGATTCCAAAACCCAAAACATCAAAATAACTTTGAAACTTCTTATTAGCAATTTCCAGAACGTTGGAGAGTTCTATAAATGTGGTTGAACAGCTATGTTTTCCATTGTGCAAATTGTATGTATTCACTTAATAACCACAAAATGGGACATAAAATATGTTTTACATTTATTTTTAATAATTCTTATTTGAATAACTATCAACTGAAATATTTGTTATTATCTGCTGATGCTGTTCTAAGCATTTTACTTTTTTTTTTCTGCCTGACAGCTCTATGAAGTGGCCATTATTATTATATTAGTGTTGCAATTTACAGGTTGAGAAACAAAAGACAAAGAGATGTGCAGTAACTTAGGATGAACTAATACATAGGGAGAAATATATAGTGAAGAACCTTGAATTATTCTAAAGAGTTCTCTTTATTGGGTGTTTCTTTACTCACTCAGAAAATGTTTATTTAGTGCCAACTGTGTGCCAGCACTATGGTAAGAGCAAGAGGCAGAAATAAAAATGCAGTGCATGATCATTTACAATATATAAACATCTGGAGAAAGCATTTATATAAACCAACACCAGCCCAAAGTCACATGTGCATTAAATAATTGTTTTATTAATTTAATAATGTTTACTGAGTGCCTACTTCACACGAGGTATTGCCTAGCAAACACTGTCATTTTGCCAAAAGTTTGCAGTTCCTAGTAATGTTTCTGCTGTTGGAAAACTAATCAGCATCTCTTATATAACCTGGTTGAAATGCTATAGACATTCGCATTCCTCTGCCTACAGATAAGCTTCTGTTATAATATTTATCGCAATGGATAAAAGAAGGTAAATACTGAGGAAGATTAGGAGGAAAGAAACCTGGAGGACCACATATACTCTATTAGTTTAGACCTAGTTCCTTATATAAGAAATACTGTTTCATTTTTCTTTTCTCTTCTTTGGAAGATGGCTGCATTTTTTTGTAAAAAAAAATGGACATTTCTTAAACATAGCATGTATTTTTTATGTCCTAATGGTGGGGCAGGGAATGCAGTGGGAAAAAAATGCTTTCTTTGAGGTCAGTCACATAGATATGGCATCAAGTCCTTACTCTATCATTTGCCAGACGTGTGATTTTTAGCAAGGTCCTTAATCTCTCTGAATCTTAGTTTTCTCAACGATGAGATAAAGACAAAAGTAACTAACTTGCAGTATCAGGGCTCATTATTTCAAATAATGTGTATAAATACTGTTCACCTATAAAATGATTGTTGTGAAGATTAAATGAGATAATGGAAGTGAAGTGCTTAATAGACTTCCTAGTAAAATGAATAACATCACTCAATAAATAACAGCATTTATTTTAATTGCTATCATTATCTTTTTCATTTGCTAGACAAGTGGTTCTCAGTGTTTTTATGTGTCACCTACAATAGAATTATCTGGAATGCTTATCAAAAAGAAAATCAGATCCCCAAGCCAATTCCTGATTAGCTAAATAAGAATCTCTACTGGTTTCTTGGGCATCTTAAACCCAGTATCCCTGAAGTAGAGGCTTTAGCTGTCTGTAGAAAGGGTTGGTGTCTAGTTAACAAAGTGCTTAGTATATACCACCAACTAACGTAATAAATGGCAGTTGCTACTTTATAACATGCTGCCAGTTACTATCTTGGAAAACCAAGGAGAATCTTGGTTAGACTAACTTCATGGGAAATGATTACCATCTTTTTTCATAAATAACCTTTTTCATGTTTATGTAATAAAAAATTTTACAGTGCATTTCTGAGTACTTAGTTCAGTTCTAGGAGCTGTAGTCATTTTGTTATTTTGAACTGGTTTATCAAAGGTAGGATTGTCATTGTCTCTGAACGATTTCATAACTGAGAGATATGGATAAAGAACTGATAAGAAATTGGATTACATTTGACATGGAGCCTCAGACTGAGTATTTTGTCACCATATTAGGAAAGTTGAAATCATAGGAAAAGTACAGTTATCCTATGGGATAGGCATCTCATGTCTCAGGATTGGGTAGAAAATTTTATACAGAAGCGAGGGGCTCTTTTCTGAGAATTTGCCTACTGTTCAATTCACTTAATACCTAGAATGTATGTTGAAATCATGAGTCTGAAATTTACTTTTATGTATTTATTTATATATTTTTTAGAGGCAGAGTCTAGCTCTGTCACCCAGGCTGGAGTGCAGTGGTGCCATCATAGCTCACCGCAACCTCAAATTCCTGAACTTAATCCTCCCACCTCAGTCTCCCAAGTAGATAGGACTATAAGCATGTACCACCATGCCTGGCTAATTTTTTATTATTTTTTCATAGAGACAAGGTCTTACTATGTTGCCCAGGATGGTTTGAACTCCTGGCCTCAAGTGATCCTCCAGCATTGGCCTCCCAAAGTGCTGGGATTACAGGCATGAGCCACTGTGCCTGGCCCTGAAATTTACTTTTAAATGAAAGTTATGTAAAAAAAGAATTTATAGCAAAGCAGATGGCTCTACGTTAGATCATACTAATAAAATATTGCTGACGTATAATCAGTTAAAACTCTGCAATTTTGATTTCAATATAGTTTGTGGTGTTTGCAAGTAAAGAAGCCTTTTAAAAATCATTAACTATATCCGGAGGGCTTCTGTTGTGGTATTAGAAGTTCAAATGCTCTATAACTCTTCCAAAAAACTGTAGTTCTGCATCAGATAAAGATGGCTACTCTTATGAATAAAGGGAACTGTAGATTTCTAGGAAAGCTAAACCATACAGCCTGAGCTGTGCTGTTTGATGTAGATTCTCCAATTGAAGGTATCCTACTTCTTTGAAAAAAAAATTTGTTTCTACCTTATTTTAAAGATTGAACTCCCTCTCTTTGGAGGAAAGAGAAGTGGTTTGTTGAAAATCATCTGGGGCTAAGATTCAAGGATTGGTATTCTTGTCATCTCTGTCACACTGACTAGTCACATGTCAAAAGGCAAAGAATTTAAGCAGTCTTTTAAATTTATTGGGTTGTTTTTGGAAATGGCAGAGCAATGTCCACCTTGCCTGTCTCCCAGACTTGTGAACATCAACTATCCAGATGCAAAAGTTCTTTGAAAAGATAAATGTGATATCTCTTCACATGGAATGTGACATATGCTTTTTATTTGGGTTTTTTTTTGGAGGGTGGGTGAATTTGTAAGATATTATTAATATTCACTGGATTTTATGGCATACTTCCCTGTACAGCACTGTTTACAATCTAATATGTGCTTATTCATTGCTGTTATATGTTTGCTTACTAGCTAGGATTATATGTGTGCTCACTTCTTAAGATTGTACTCCACCCTGTGTATTGAGAGTATCATTAATAACAGAGAATATGTCTTTGTTATATAGACTCTCATCCCCAGCAACTGTGCCCTGATATGCATAGTAGGTGTTTAATAAATAGTTGTGGAATGAATGGAAGCATGCCTCCAAAATGCACTGTGCATGTCCAGTGTACACTATGCATTTATATCTACTCCTCAAAGTGATTGGAGTTAATGTTGTTTTGAGTTTTTCTGTGGAAGATTTTCTTTGAAACTAAATATGCTACAAAGTCAAATTTGAAAATCAACTACATGAATATTGAACAGATGATTCTTCTTCGTAATCACTTCTCTTCTGACTTGAAATTCAAATGTATTGTAATTCATATATTTTATATTGGGGGAGAATTTGATAATCAGCATTATACTAATAGTTTAAATTATTGTTCTCTTATTTTATCTTCTTATAAAGTAAAAACTAGTGTTATGTGATAATGTTATATGATAATGTGATAATGTTTGATAGAATGGGATTCCTAATCAGGTAAACCTGGGTTTAAGTCCCAACTACACCTATTCCTATTTTATTATTAAGTCCCAACTATACTATTCCTAGTTGCAAGAGAATCTATGCTGTTAATTTCTCTAAGCTTTTGTAAGTCTAATATGGGCCTAATTATACTACCCTAATGAGATCGTCATGAGGATTAAATACAGTAATAGACTTGAAATGTTTAGTATGATACCAAACACATAACAGCCTTTAGCTATATCTTTATATTATTTATATAGGTCATCTTCTAAACAGGTATTTTTTTCTGTTTTGTCTGTTTTTTTTTTTTTGTTTTCTGTATTTGTGTGTGTGTGTGTGTATGTTTCCTTTCACAGATGGATACACAACTGATGACATTGAGTTTTACTGGCGTGGCGATGATAATGCAGTAACAGGAGTAACGAAAATTGAACTTCCACAGTTCTCTATTGTAGATTACAAACTTATCACCAAGAAGGTTGTTTTTTCCACAGGTTTGTATCATGGAAAAGTGTTAAGGGAAAATAATCTTCACCGTATTTTGTTAAACATGTTCACTTATATTAGAGTTCTGTCCCAGGGAAGCACCATGACTTTACAAGACAAATCCACTGAAAACCCTCAGTTTCCCATGAAGTCTATTGTTCTACTCGGGACCCATACTATTATTTTCCAGAGGCCACCCCAGCAGAGCTGAGAGGATCATCTCTGTGTATCCCATTTGCCAGAGAAGCGACTAATTTTTAGAAAGAATACAGGAAGAGAAATAAAGACCTGGCTCAGAGCTGTTCCCCAACATTATAACATTATACATCCCACAGAATTGACCATAATCCCTTGATTATGATTATGATTGGGAGACCCGAGTTGCAGTTCATTCAAGTCTGATCACGTGAAATTCTCCAAAGACAATGGGAGGAATTCACATTTTCTTCAAAGGATAAGAATTTCTTTACACAGTTTCACCTCCTGTGTGAGCTAAAAGCTGTTTCAGGTGTTAAGATTATCCCGAGGCCTTTGCCATCTTCACCCTTACGGCATGGAGATTTTATATGGTCATACTTTATTTCATCAGCAAAATTTTTGCATTTTTGTAGCAATAAAGCTGAGGAAAGCAATCATTTGCTAGACACTCATTTAGGCAAAAAATATTAAACCCACAGGGATATCCTTCTTTATATTTTTCTTATTGAAATAAACCCCACAGGCACAGAAATAACTAATACTGTAATGGCCCTTCTGCTAAGAAGTCACATACTTTTTGTGCCTACAAACCACTTCAGGCAAAAGCTCTGTGACTTGATAAAAATACAATGCCTTTAACTTTAAAACAACAACGACAAACAGAAACTTTTCCTAAGTTTGAGGTCCGCTGAATTCCTAAAAATCTATGGAAATGAGTTCCTACTTAGAATATTCTTACTATCGTATTCAGACACTTAGCCTAGCCCTCCAAAAACTAAACAAGGCTTTCTTCCAAACAATGAGAATATCCTCTCCAAGCTACTTATCATGTGAACTTCCTATAGTCTAAGACTGTGCTCTGTTATTTGTCTTGTTTTATTAAAGGGTAATTGCCCAGGTCATCCAATCAAAGAACCCAGATTTAGGAAGCTGATTCTTTAGTTGTATCTCCCACAAATATTGCTCAAATGCAATGGGTCTCCACCTTTTGGTTGATAAGGTATACTTTTAGAACTCCAATGGAAGCAATGAAACTATTAAAAAAAAGAAGCATATACGTGAAAACCTACAAAAACCTGCATTCCCTGAAACATCACCACTGATCACAGACTTAAACTGCAATCTGTGTCTTGAGAAGAGTTTTCTTTTACTATGACCAGAACATGCAGCCTCACTCTCACATAAGATTAAACTTACAGGATGAACTTACTAAGGAACAATTGAAAGAATGAAAAAAAGAACTGTCCCAAATTGTCCTAACAATTACAGAGGAGGGGTATGTTTGATTCACTCTATGAGGCTGAGTAGGGAAGAGCTGGAATTCTTTTAATTACTGGTGAGTACAGGATGCATTCCACACTGAGTAACTCCTGGTAATTAGAAACTCAGGGCTCTCAGACTACTTTTGCAGAAGAAAGTGTCCTTCACTAAGAGCTAAAACTGAACTGAGAGAAGAGGTACTGTTTATGCACCTTTAAAGAAAAGTATCCTATAAATATTGATTGATAATGATGATGTTCTAAAATTGCCTTTCTAGGTTCCTATCCCAGGTTATCCCTCAGCTTTAAGCTTAAGAGAAACATTGGCTACTTTATCCTGCAAACATACATGCCTTCCATCCTGATTACCATCCTCTCCTGGGTCTCCTTCTGGATTAATTACGATGCTTCAGCTGCAAGGGTGGCATTAGGTAGGCCATTTTATTACTGCTTGTGGATTTTGACTCTGTGTGTACATTTCTGTGTTCGCATGCACGCGTTTTCCTTATCCTGAAATTTGTGGTGCATGACGCAACTGAACCTCTCACACTGTAAGAGTTTCGCTATGAGACTTTGGGTGATCTGATTCAGCATTAAATCAATTAAACACGAAGTAAAGCTCTTTCATGTCAGTATTAGTTAACCGTATATCTGTTGATAATGAGATTAGTCCCATCAGTTTGATATTTTTATTGAAACATATTTCATATAGTATTGCTTGCATAATTGTTCAATTTGTATCTGTGCTTCTTTACCTAAGAAGACCTCCCTTCTACGTTTTTTTCTCCATGAAAGACAAGAAGATGTTGTGTGTAGCAAATGGATAAGCAGAAAGAATTCTAAAGTCTTGTTAACATTTCAGAGTAGCATGACTAAGGCAGGAGACAACAAAGTAAGAATATTGAGAAGTAATCTGTGGCATCTCTCATCTTATGCTGTTTTTTTCTAACAAACACAAAAGGAGAATAAATTACATTTCATGAACATTTTTGTTATTAACTTCAGATAAAGTAAATTTATGGCCTTTTACACGATCTTGATTATTATGGATTCTGACTATTCCCTTTAAAATGTTGAATTGTTCACTTTTACCATTAGATCTCAATTCAATCATTACTTTCTTAGAAGAGCCACTCATTTATTATTCAACAAGTAATTGTTAAATACCTAATATATGCTAATTGTACTAAGCACTGGAGATAGAGCAGTCTTCTGAAAGTTATATCTAGCAGTAAAAGATATACAATAAATTTAATAACCACATAAATTATACAATGTGGTAAATCTATAGAGGGATATAAAGCAAGGGGGCATGGGTTTGCTAGAAGTTCAGTTTAGAATAATTAGGGCCGACTTCACTCAGAAGTTGTCATTGGAACTAAGACTTGAAGATTGAGAGCAATGTGGATACCTGGGTGATAATATTCCAGATGACTGCAAAGGCCCTGGGTAGGAACAAACCAACAGTGTCAGCAGGAGGCTAATGAGGCCAAGTGAGTTCAGGGGAAGTAGCAAAGATAATGTTAGGGAAAGAGGCCTAAAGGATCACAAAAGGGCTATTACAAAGGGATGGTAGGCCACGACAAAGGCTTTGCTTTTATTTTGAATGAAATAGCCATTGACTGAGCATAAAAGTGGCATGATTTGATTTCTGTTTTAAAGGGATCACTTCGGCTACTGGGTTAAAATTAAATTATGTGGCTCAAGGATGGGAGGAAGGAGAAGAAATGACCTCTCAGGCTGAGTCAAGCACCTGTGATATATACACTTGCAGTACCATAGACCTCCCCTGTGTGTAGACTAACCACAGTTATAACTTTTGTTTTCTTAGTGGTGTGATGTCCTTTTCCCCTTCAGCAATGAAAGATCCATGGAGGAAAGGTCCATATCTAGTTTTATATCTGCAGTGTCTTGCATGGGGAATGGTGCTCAGTAAACATTTGCTGAATGAAAGAAGGAATAAAATTTGCAAATATCCCATTTTTCCAAAGTTGAAACATGTCTTTTTTGTATCGATTACAGGAACAATAAATAATTCATTAACTTTTTAGAAGACATTTTTAAAATGTCTTTATGTGAGCAATTTATTACTAGTTTCAGAAATACTTTAAAATGAGATTTAGATAAGTAGTAAAATCAGCAATGTCAGTTTTATTATATACGTATGATACAGGATCATCCGTAGTTGAAATGATGAAGAGAAAATTGAAACTGGAAAATGTCTCAAAATGACAGCTATAAAGAGGACACGAGAAATGTAAGATACCTGTATCTAAAGCAAGACCAAGGTTTTATGGGCGTGCTCAGAATCAAATGCTCAGATTTATTTTTTTATTCTGTAGCTGTTTCTTGGTGGAGTATAAAAACAAAATAGAAACTATGACATTATTACTACTGAGATAAAATTAAATCAGAAAACTGTGTCCCCCCAAAATCATAGGAATGAAATTTAACCTTCAGGATGCGTTATTGGATAGTGTTTAAGGGCCTGGATTCCTGAGTCAGAAAGATTCTCATTCCAATGGCAACTCTATAACTTTCCATCTGTGTGATCTTGACCTCTGAGCTTTGTCTATTTTCACATCACTATTTTGCTACAAAGCTGGACTTTATCATATTCAGGACCTTGGACTTTCAGTGCATTTACCTTCCGATTACAGCTTAGAGGGAAACTACTTCCCACTGTCAAGAGATACCAACTCAACAGGACAAACAATTACAGCCTGACCCAGTGTCACATTTTCCATAAGCAGTCCTAGAATGCATCTGTGTTATTTATCTAGGCATTATATGCCTAATTGTCCGATCCATATACATGAGGGCTATGATTCCTGCTTCTCTGTTACCCTCCACTCCAAATTCCCAGATGTTTATAATCATTTATTGATATTGCCTGTATAATGTATTCTTTAATTTCAGTACCCTTGCTGTTATTTTAATTGACTTCACTTCCATCATTCAGTTGGATTACTCTGAAAACCTCTTAACTGGCATTCTTTTTTTTTTTTTTTTTTTTTGAGACGGAGTCTTGCTGTGTGGCCCAGGCGGGAGTGCAGTGGCGCAATCTCGGCTCACTGCAAGCTCCGCCTCCCGGGTTCACGCCATTCTCCTGCCTCAGCCTCCCGAGTAGCTGGGACTACAGGCGCCCGCCATCACGCCCGGCTAATTTTTTTGTATTTTTAGTAGAGACAGGGTTTCACCGTGTTAGCCAGGATGGTCTCGATCTCCTGACCTCGTGATCCACCCGCCTCGGCCTCCCAAAGTGCTGGGATTACAAGCGTGAGCCACCGCGCCCGGCCAACTGGCATTCTTTACTCCTGCCATGCCTGCTTCTCCCCATCATCCACACTGTCACCACAGTGATTGTTCTAAATGCAAATTGCCCCCTTGCTTGAAGCTGGCCCCTGCTCCACATTGCCTTTAATTTTAAGTTCAAACTCCCCCATTAGGCTCTCTGCATGGCCCTTAACCTCCAGTCTTCTCACGATTCTTCCCATCCTGTCTTGCAATGTACCCACAATGATTTTTCCGAGATCATGGTAATGGACTGTGTACTCTCCCCCAAATCCAACCTTGATATAAAAGCTCTCTCCACCAGCAGTCCCCATAAGTCAAAAATGACTTTTGACCCCCAGTTCTGGGTTGCCTGGGTGACTTTCACTCATTTTTCAGAAATCAGCTCAAAAGTCTCTATTTCCTAACCTCATCCCTGGCACATCAGAAAGTTGACCTAGAGTCCTCTCCATATTCTGAACTCTTACCTTACACATGTGCCCATCATAGCATTTAATTCACGTTTTAACCCCGCACTAGATATATAACTATAAATACAAAAATTTAATTAAAAGAAGGGATCAAACGTTCAGTGATCACTGTAAGCTAATTTATACCTATATCCATTCCCTATCCTAGGGCTGGCATGCAATAGTAAAGGCCCAATAAATAGATTGTGGCATATATGAATGAGAAAATGAATATAGATCACCTTTCCAGCTATTAAGAAAGAAGAAAAGAGATAGGAACATTATTACTCTAACTCTCCCATTTTTTTTCAGGAATCACAACTGTCCTCACAATGACCACAATCAACACCCACCTCCGGGAAACTCTCCCTAAAATCCCCTATGTGAAGGCCATTGACATGTACCTGATGGGGTGCTTTGTCTTCGTTTTCATGGCCCTTCTGGAATATGCCCTAGTCAACTACATCTTCTTTGGGAGGGGGCCCCAACGCCAAAAGAAAGCAGCTGAGAAGGCTGCCAGTGCCAACAATGAGAAGATGCGCCTGGATGTCAACAAGGTAAATTCAGAGGGCAAGCCCTCCTTGCTTCTTAAACTCATGGAAGAATGCTAGCAATACAGGTTGATGACCTTGTTGAGCAAATGAGGAAACCAAGCCCAGGGAAGAGAATGGGTAATTTTCCCCAAAGCACACAAACAATTAATGATGGAAGCACAATTAGGGACCAAACTCATGACACAAGATTTGGATGCCCTTTCCATTAACAAGAGGAGTGACCAAACATGAGAAGACCTTTATGATGCTTTCTCACATATTGAGTATAGTACCTATAATTATTTATGCATTCTTTAAATTTATTCACCTAATTTATTTAAAAAGGAAATTTAATGTTGCTTCAGTCAGTATTACTTGCTGGACAATAGCTTTACAAATATATAAGTAACAAATTTAAAAAACTATATCATTAAGTTCTAATTTATACTAGATGAAGTCTCTGGCCCTGAAATCTGCATTCTCTTTGACTTAAAGGAAAGATAAGCAAGTATACAGATGTGTTACAGACCCACCAAGCAACAAACTGAGACTTTTTCTTTGAAGCGATCAGAAGAACATAAGAAGAGTAAGGGGGAAAAGACAAATAATTTTCTCCTTTAAATGACAATGCCTTGCACATATACCACTTATCATTGCAGCATTTGACTATATGAGGCCACCATCTTGCTTAAGTCAGACATGGTCAAAGATTCCCACAAAACTATAAACCCTGTTTATTTGTTAAGTCAGTAGTTTTCAATCATGGGTGCCAATGGAATGACCTGAACAGATTAAAAAAAAATACTGAAGCCTTGGTCCCCTCCCCAGAAAATCTGATTTGATTTTCTTGGAGAAAGCATGGGCAACACAATTTTAAAAAGTTCCCCAAGTTATTCTAATCTGCATCCAAATTTGAGAATCACCACTTTAAGGTTTTTGATGGTAGTCCCAGTAGAGCCAGCTCTCTTTACTCTCAATATTAAACTTCACCTGGCTTCCTGTTATAGCACTTGCTGCACTAACAGAATACTTGTATATGTATCTTCCCAGAGGCCACATTTAGACCTTTAGCAATAGCCAAAGAAAAGTCTTATTTTCATATCTGCCCTAAATACTGTTTATGAAGTAGTGTCTAATATTGGACCAATAAATAGTTCATCATGATGGGACTAGGAAAACATTAATCAATCCTCTTAAACCATTTGGAATTATTAATTATAACAAAAGCTGATTATTTCCTTGATGTTTTGATATTTCTAACTTCAAATTAATTTCAAGGATAGCAAAGTATAAATAATCTCTGCCATTGAGTTGTATTTGGAGCAAACCATATGGAAGCTTCTAACTCAGTAATGTTTTTCACATATCCATAGGTCTAATATTTGGTTTTAGACTCTTCTCTAATCCAAGGCACTTCTTGCTTAGAAGATGATATTTGCAACAATGCAAATTTTAAGTATGGCCCTTGGAAACCAAAAAACCGTAAGGGTCTAGGAAATTGTCAAATTCTTTCCCACACCCAAGGTTTTACTTATTGGAATCACAATTTACCATTATGGTTCTCTCAGGCTGTCAAATGAAAGAGTATTTTCTAAACCTATTTTCTGATTTTCATGACATAGTAGTCTTAGAGAAGAGAAGAGAATAAATAAATAAATAAACAAACAAATAATGCTATCTCATAGGACTTCAAAATGAGTCTAAATCAATTGCATAATGAAAGGCTGACTTAATAAGATAACATCTGATCTCTTCACTTTCATCTACCCTATTTTTTATACCAATTTGCATTTAAATGATAAAGTTAAGACCTAGAGGGAGGAGGTTTTATACAAACTGAACCTGCAGAGCTTCAGATAGTTCTAAAACGGAAATAGAGAAAAGTTCACTAGGCAGTTACCCCATAGTGGTGAAAAGCCTATCCTCTTGGTTGAAGGTAGACCCTACCATTCAAGTGATGGAATATGAGAGAACAAAAAAGATACCAGAGATTATTTAGTATTTTTCAGTGGTTCTCAAAACAGGGTCATTTTCTTCTCCCAGAGGACATTAGGCATTGTCTGGAGACATCTTTCATTGTAAAAACTATAGGATGAGGTTTACTACTGGTATCTAGTGTGTAGAGGCCCAGGTTGCTGCTACACATTTGGCAGTGTGCAGGATAGCTTCCCTGTAACTTCTTGTTTTCAAACATGAGAAACTGAGGTACTGAAAAAATAATATCCTTGTCGTCTAAATATTCTTTAGCAAAGTTGTTTCTCCATTTTCTTTGAGCAGCATGTGTAAGAATCAAGACATCATGAGTCATGGTTTAGAACAATGGTTCTGAACAAATATTTTAGAGTCTTTCAAGTTCAATATTTACCTTCCCATTTAACAACTGGGTGACAGTAGACAAAAAATTTAGCCTCTCTGGCCCTTTAGTTTTCTCATCTGTGAAACAGGGTTAATTCCTCTCTTATAAAGTTACTCATGAACATAATTGTGATAATGTGCAAAGAGGGTAATATAGTCCTCAATACATGGTAAGCACTCAGGAAGTGATAAATATTAATAAAATATTAAAATATAATAAGTGGTAGGCATTATTACTTTTTAAAATAAAATTTGCAGTCCCCATACTTATTGGTGATGCTAGCGTGTGTGTTCTATATGCTCTACCATGTGGAATGCAGTAGCATCCCTAAAGCAGTGTATTGTTTAGACAGGAATGTTTTATGTTAGAAGTTTTAAAGTCAAATCAAGAAAATCATTTTTCAAAGGGTATTAGCTATAAAATCTATAGCAAATCAACTGCATCAAACTCTATTAATTATTTCTTAGAGCAGAAAACCTACAACCCATTTTGATTAGATTAAAACAAAATGCTGACCATCAAGCTTTCCAGACTCCCACTATTTCTTTGTTCACCCAGCATGAAAGGTTAGAGGAGGTCCACATTGCTCCTGATTATGCGGTGCTGTCCTTTGTGTCAGCATCATGAATAATACCACCCCATTTCTTATCAAGAATGTCCCTTCTTTTCAACTGTAATTCTATAGTTATTTTTTTTTTTCCAAGATCAAGCACTTATAATCAGCTAAGCATTGTTGGCTGCTCTGGGAAAATCAGGAGTGGGATTAAATTTTTCACCTTCCTTTGGTGATTTCCTAAAGATGGAAGGAGTGTGTCAGATTATCTAAAGTGATTTTTGAACTGTGCTCTGTCCTGAGGTCAGGGAGGGTTGAAAACGGGAAGCCTGCCCAGGTGGGAGCCCAGTGTTGATTCAGCAGATGCTACCGCATTTTTTTCAGCCTCTTTTTGGTATTAGCGTCTCTTAAATGTTTGTTTTAATAAGTGAATTTGCAGCTCTTAAAATAATTCCTGTCCTGTCATTTCACTGACGTAAAAGCCTATGTGCCTAAAGAAGGTGAAATAGCCAAGGTCACATAGCAAGCTTTTAAAAGTTCTGATATGGATTTTTCTATCCTTCTCCAGTGTACATAAAAGTGTGCTGGCAAAAAAAAATAAAATAAAATAAAAAATAAAAGTAAAAAACAAACAAAAACTGAAAAGCTAATTCCATGTTAGTTTATGTATTCCAACTCAGTTGATTTCACCTGAAAAATCCCAGCTACCTGCACATGAAAGTTTATAAGCAAGTGTCACTTTCACCGTTGTCTTCATGTGCCAAGTTAAGTAGTAAAGTACTAAGATTTTAAAAATAAACTTTAAACCAACATGAGGTCTACTGAATATTTTTTCCCAAGTGTCCTTTGGAGTAGTTTAAACATGATCTTTATTCTAATGCTAGGAGAGTCTTTCCTATTTTCCCTTGCATTCTTCTAGTTTGTGTGTGTGTGTGTGTGTGTGTGTGTGTGTGTGTCCTAATGGAATTTGCTTTTGATTGATTTCACCCACTGTTCTTGCCCGTAGCTTCAAGTTTCAACTCCCCTTACTTCTCTTTTAAGCTTTATATTGTTTCCTTGTTTATTTTTCTGCCAAATACTAAGAACACGCATATTTGAGAATCAAGTTATTCTTGCCTTTTTACCACCGTGGTATTTGCACATATCAAATGCACCTGCAGCCAACAGTTTTCTAACTAAAGCTGCACCACAGAGATCTCCATTTAAGGGTGTTCTTTATTCTGCATTCATGGGTGCTGTGACTCTTTGTGTTGTCTTTATCCATTGTGTGTAATCTTTTCTAATGTAAAGCCACTAAGATATTTTCAATCAATTTATTTCTACTGCTTGGAATTTGATGTTTTTAAAACAAAACATTTTTTAAAAACTTACTCAAATTCCCATTCTCTGTTAGCCTTTATCTAAAGGATTTCTAAAGGCCAGTAGCATTTATCTATATCCAATTTACTTTAACCATCAGGCCTAATCTAGTAGCATCAATCGACTTAATTAGCACATTCTCTACTTTGTCTTCCAGATTTTTTATAAAGATATTAAACAAAATGGGACCCAATATCGATCCTTGTGGGACCCTACTGGAAACCTCTCCCCAACTAGACGGACTACCAATTACGATTTCTCTCTGTATACGGTTAGATAGCCAGTTTTTAATCCATTTATTTGTATTTCTGTTGGGGCCAATTTGTTTAGCTGTTCCCTTAAAAAATGTGTGGGATCTTTGCAGATAACCTATGAACATGTATCCACAGAGTCTTGGGGATAAGTTAAAACTTTTTCAGGAGACCTTAGTGGGACTTTCCTAGGTTTGCTTTTTCAGTATAGCTTTGGTGAACCTAAGCTTCAGTGTTTCACTCAGGAATTGTTGTTGTGTTAGGGAAAGAAATTAAATGGATCGTATTTTGAGAATCCTTTTCATTTGTACTGAGAGGACAAGAGTGTCATTATTTCTTAGTTTTATTGTTGTGTTTGCTTTTTTCAGACTCTTTGGATTGAATAGGTGAATTAAACATTTCTTTTGTTGGTTGGCTGAGAATTCAGAAATTTGTCTACATTACTAACTTGTGTCTAAGAATGTTATGCTTGCATCAAGTCCTTGTTGATTTCTTGTTATTTATTTCACAAATAGGTATTGTATTGGCAGGCTCATCATTATTATGATAGATAAAAGCCAATAATTGACATTGTTGTTTACCAAAACTCTTGACTTAAATGAACTCTAAAGAAAGCCTATTTTTGACTCATAGTTTAGTTTCTGAATCCTCATGTGTTGGTGATCTTAATTGGCAAGTTGTCATTCATATTGCCCTCCAAATTGAAGGAGGAAAATGATAATTGTCACCATTCCACCCTATCATCTACTACTTGTTCAACTCCAGTGTTTAGCAAATGATATTGGATATTTGTGAATCTTTTCTATGAGGACTTGATGCCAGAAGTGCTTCCATTATTATATCTTCTAAGTATCAGGCTATCCCTTAATTTTGTGGCTTTGACTCCAGAATCTTTAATACATCATTGTTGTTGCCATTGGGGTAGGGGACAGAATGGATAAGCTACTGAATTGCTCCTTTGTGCTGGTATTTTGTCACTTTTTGACTTCATTACTTGTGTTATATAGTAATAAAGTCTAGTAAATAGTAATAATTAAATTATGGAAGAGATGTTTGAAATTTTGTTAATCACTATTTTTTGTTCCAATCCCCTAAACATTCCATCACCTACTATGTCTGTGCTCTCAGACTATCTCATTGATGTTGTTGCTGCTGTCCTTATTTTTTAACTTTAGTTACGCTTGTTGAAATTAAAGTAGACTGATTTGATTGGGCATTATTCTGGGTCAATTGTTAATTATGTAGAAGAAAACATGTATGAAAGTTGGATTTATGATGAAAATGATTGAAGAAGGCTGTATTTCTGAAAACGAAAATCAAACACACTACATGATTATTGTAAAGACTGGGTAAAACCACATGAAAATTCAGGATATCCTCAGATGATGAGGATATTTTTGAAAATTTGCTCATTGGTGCATTAAAGTGTGCAGTTGATGGCTTGAAAGCGTTAATACTCTCTTATCCCATGATTTGAACACTAATTTGTTAAGACCTCTTCCTCTATCTCATAAAATATCATATTAACAAAAATGTTCAATGAAAATATGAATTCTACATTGAAATATGAATTCTAACGTCTTTTGTTTTTATACTTTTCTATGTTGGTTATGTCTTTATGCTGTCCTTTAAGTCCTCTTTTAAGTTCACACTATGAAATAAGGTCTAGTATTTGAAAGTTCAAATAACAAGCTTTCTAGTAAACTTATAACCTATAAGAGCATCAAGATATATGTCACAATTGCAAAAGGTACTGGGAAGATTAGTGGATTTTATAGCTATATGAACTGGGTTCATATTCAAGCATTGTCATTTATAAGCTGTGTGACATTAGACATGTTTAACCTTTCCAAGCTTTAATTCCTCAACTGAAAACTAAAACTACTAATTTCTGTCTTATACAACTGCTGAGAAGAATAAGTGAGATAATTATACCAACGGCCTTATGTAGTACCAAGCAAAGGACATTCAAATAATAGTTGTAATTATTCTGGAGATGGTGCCAGGGATTGTGTGTCTTTCTCAGATTTTATTTAGTTCTATAACTATTATTCTGATTACAAAACAAATTCATGGTCATTCTTAAAATTACACAAAGTATAGTGAAAATCACCTGCACACTCCCACACAGATATAATCATTATCAACATTGCCTTTTATTCACATTTAATGACATATTTTATATAAAAATCATATTCTACTCTTCTGTATACAGTTATTTCCCAGTTAACTTTTCATATCTTTTAGTATAAGTATACACCATTTCTAATAGCTATAAGATATGTAATTGAATGTGCATGCCATAATTCATTTAACATATATTCAATGAGCACCTATTGTTTGATGTTTGCATTGTTTCTAAGTGATTTTCCATTATAAACAAGTATAAAATAAACATCACATTGCTGACAGGTTTACACACCATTGTTCCTGATATATTTCTTAAAATGGATTTGCTAGGTTCAAAGTTATATGACTCTAAAGTGGTGATATATGTAGTCAGGTTGTTCACTAGAAAGGTTCTATGATAGTTTACATACCTAATAGCCATCTGAGAGTGTGGTAGTACACACATATACATATAAACACATACACACAGTGTATACGCACACAATTACCTTGCACTCCCACAAATGAGGAAGAAACAGAAAACATGTTTAACTTGGTCCAATTGTGATAAGTGCTGGAGAAGAGGAGAGAGAGTAGACTCCAAAATCCCATGTCTAGTCTCTATCCTCTCTTTCCAAAAGCCATCAATAATAAAATGTCAATAGAAAAATAAAATAGAAACTATCAACACCCAGCTCAAACTGAGGCTCTGCAAAGATGCAGAGATGCATAAGCAGATCCCATAATTAGCGCAAGCAGAATCAGAAGAAATCTACCTAAATTATAAGTGAACATAAAGGGAAAACCCAGAAGCAATGTCTCCATCAAGATGAAGCATCTAAACAAAGAAACAGCATGACAGCTATGCGAGAAAACCACCACATGGGGAAGGCAAGGAGAAGACCTCAACATGCAAAGACAGATAATGACCCTTATATTTTTAAAAAAGTATATTTTGGCTGGGCGGGTGGCTCACGCCTGTAATCCCAGCACTTTGGGAGGCTGAGATGGGCGGATCACTTGAGGTCGGGAGTTCTAGACCAGTCTGGCCAACATGGTGAAACCATGCCTCTGCTAAAGATACAAAAAATTAGCTGGGTGTGGTGGCGGGCGCCTGTAATCCCAGCTACTAGAGTCTGAGGCAGGAGAATGCTTGAACTCATGGGGTGGAGGTTGCAGTGAGACGAGATCGCACCACTGCACTCCAGCCTGGATGACAGAGTAAGACTCCGTCTCAAAAAAAAAAAAAAAGTATATTTCAAGATACTAAAAATGTATTAAAAAGTATTTTAAAAGTATATTTAAAAAGTATATTTCAAGATAAATTAAAACTTCCTGTAACAAAATATTTTCTCACCAAAATTGAAAGAATATGTGAAACCAAAAATCAAAAATAAAATAATAAACAAGAAGCGATTAAAAGAGAGAAAATGAAGGCAAAGCAATCCTTATGAAACTAACAAACCAATCTAAAACAGTAAGAAAGATAATCAATTTGGCCAAAAAATCAAGGCAGTAGCACAAAGTTCAGGCTGTAGTAAATCATGCCAAATGCAGAGGAAAAAGTTGTATGGATAAAAATCTTTTAGAGGAAGCATAATAAATATACAGAACAGGTACTGTGGATTAACCATGCAGAACCTTAATGTTAGTAAAGAATGGAAAAAAATGGAATAGAAAAAAATATTTAAGTCTAATGTCAGAATCTAATTATAAAAATGCTGATAATAATAAACACTTCTTCTCCGGGCACAGTGATTCACACTTGTGATCCCAGCACTTTGGGAGACTGAGGCAGGCAGATCACTTGATCCCAGGAGTTCAAGACAAGCCTGGGCAACATGGTAAAATCCTGTCTCTAGAAAAAGTACAAAAATTATCTGGGTATGGTGGCACATGCCTGTAGTCCCAGCTACAAGGGAGGCAGAGGCAGGAGAATTGTTTGAGCCTCGAAGGTGGAGGTTGCAGCGCGCCAAGATTGCACCATTGCTCTCCAGCCTGGGTGAAAGAGGGAGACTCTATCTCAAAACAATAATAATAATAACATAATAAACTTTTCTTGAATACCTACTATATGCTTAGACAATTTACATATATTATGTCAGTTTTTATTATTACCCCATATTTTTATTACTATATTCTTTTGAGTAGTGAGCTGAGACCTGGAGAACATGATTAACTTTCTTAATGTTAGATAGCTAAGCAGTGGTTGAACAGAAAATATGACTACAGAAGCTACATATTTAACTGCTATGATGTACATTCTGTATTTGTACATATATATAATGAAAGTAATTAATCCTGCTAATTGCCAGGTTGTTCCCTGGAAAAATTTTGCTGTACCTATTAGCACCGTTTGAAATTAATAAATAATTACATTAATTAATTTATTTACAGGTATGTATAACAAGTTTAAAAGGATGTAATGGGTTCCAAGATTAAAAATTATACAACATATTTAACTACTTAGTATATTCCTCTGAAATTACTCAATTTCCAGTTAAGAAAAAGTGAATGACCTACAAGGGAGAAAAAAAAGTTAGGTTTCAGTATACTCCACAGCATATTAAATATCGTTAGACAATGGAAAAGTTCTTATAAGTTTCTGAGAGGGAGAAAGTATAACCTAAGTTATTACTATTGATACATAATGACAAATGAAAGATACTTTATCCTCAATTTGCAAGGTATTAAGGAATAGCTTCTGTGAGTCCTTATTTGTGGGAAATAATATTGTAATATAACAATCTAGCCTCTGGTAAAATGTCGTCAAAGTTAGGAACTTTGGAACAGGAAAGACCAGTGTACTGGCATTTAGAACTAAAGATAACACGTAGAACTAAAGCTATACATGTCCAGGAGTTAAGGTTTCCAAATAAAACGGAATTGAAATATTTTAAAAAGCTGGATAATAAATATGTGTAAGAACAGCGAAACAGCAGAATAATCTTATGATGTAAACTAAAATTATGCAGTGGTATTTTTGAGGAGAGAGGAGATGTTCATTTGCTAATTTATAACAGGAACTTAGTATTTACTCTTTTATTTTTAGAGTTTATGAATCCAGAAGTTAAAGATTAATAATAAAATTAGCATAGATAACATAGATCACCATTATGACAGTGTTTCTCAAGGGATCTATCATAGATTGCCAACCTAGAGTCACTTGGGACATCTGCTTAAAAGTAGATTCTACCTGAGAAAATATAGATCAAAATCTTTAGTGGGGAAAGCTTAGTAATCTACATTTTTCTATGTCCCACGTTTTTGTGGTATACACTACAGCATGACAGCCTGAGGACCATTATAGTAGAAGATGTAAAAACTGATAAATCTTGCAAAAACCCTTCATAACCTGAAGGAAATGAAGAAAGATACAGATGATGTAGCTAAATCTTGATGTCAGAAATAGAGATAAAGATGACTGGAAAGCTAATTTAGAGCATAAATTCAGATGACAAAATTAAGGCCAAGCTTCTCTGTGTAGAGCATATATCAACTCATCTATGAAAAGAATAAGATTTTCAGATTGAATCTAGCAACCAATCCAACAAAATGCTTTATAATAGAGATATTTCTAAAGTAAAGGTATTAGAAAATGTTCTAAATAAAGTCATGGGAAAAAACAAATGAGGCAATTACAAATCTGAAGAAAGCTGAGAATTGATCATTATTACTATATAAAGATGAATTTAAGATAAAAGTATCACAACCAAGAGATAGTTTTATAATCATAATTACTATCCCAAATAAAGATATAATCATTATGAATCATATAATTTAAATCAAAAGAGCATCCAAATAAATTGAAGTGATAGGAAATCAAAGGAGGAAATGACAGAAACATTAAGTGGTATAATTATAAATTTTACTATTTGTATAAACTCTTTTATGTACAAGTCACGTGTGTCAAAGATACAATAAAAATTAAATTGAAGAACATTTAGAAAATAATACTAATTTTAAATACTACATAATTAATCCTCAGTTGTGTGGTTAAATTAGTTAACAGTGAGATGGCCATAGCTTAAAACATCTTTCTAGCAAGTAATTTTAAAAACTGAATTAAACATACAATTTAAGAAGTTAGAAAAAGTTCAGCAACAAAATACCTAAATAAAGCAGAAGGAATAATCAAGATCAATTATAAATTAACAAATTAGAAAATCAAAATAACCCACAAGTAAAATAAAGACATAATCGATAAAGGAAAAGGCTATTAAGGAAACAAAGAGGAAGACAATATGAATATACCAAAGCAGTAATTTTTAAAAGCATAACAATTAAACATTAAGGGGAAATTAAAAGAAAACTATGCAAAGATCTTAGAAAATGTGGATATATAATTCATCATGTCCTTAGAAAATATGAATTAGAAAAAAAATTAGCCTAGATGAAATAGAAAAGAAAAACGACCAATTAACTAAAGATGAACTTAACAAAATTGACAGAAAAATATAACTCCCACTCAAAAAGAGCATCTAGCCCATAAGATTTCAACAATGAATTCTATCAGACATGAAAATTCAAATACCTCTAGTGGTATTTAAACTCTTGTAAATAATAACAAAGAGAAGGAAAAACTTCCAAATGATTTAGATGGTCACATAACGTAAATAAGGTACCAACACTATATTTCAAAAAACAAAAGCATGTGAAAGAAACAATGGACCCACTTAACTGGTGAACATTAGTGGGGAAAATTTTTTTGAAATTGATTTTTCAACTGAAATCAGGAAAATACAGAAAGCAAACTACCTCATAACCACAGAGTGCTATTTCAAATTATAAGGGTAACATTTTCCATATAGATGAGTTGAAAGGGTGAAAAACTTTATATATATATAAAATAAATATATAAAATATATATAATATATTTTTATATTATAGCCTTTCCATAGATACCAAAAAGGACATTAAGAAAAATTAACAAAAATTTAATATTCATTCTTGGTTATAAATTTAAAATCTCTTAGGAAATTAGAAAGTGAAGAATGCTTCCTTGCCTGGGTCTCTGTGTTTATTTCTCTTTATCTACCTGTCTTATGAAAAACTCTGACTCTTGCCTCTTGGCTTAGGATGGAACAGTTCAGGCTAGAACAAGAAATGGATGCCCGCCATCACCACTATTGTTTATTTAAAAAAAAAAAAAACAGCTAATAAAATTACATTAGGGAAAGTAAGGAATATTGGAAAAGGATAAGAAATAATTTTACTCTTAAACAGGAACAACGACAATTTATTCAAACAAAATTTAAGGGAATGAACTGCAAAAGACTTAGAAACAATATGAGAAGTTTGGGAAGTTCCCACAGCTTTTTTCCTATATAGAAAATATATAAACAATAACAAAAATGTAATGGAAGGGAAGAAAAGAGCCCTTTTCACAGTAATAAGATTTTAATAAAAGAAAACTTTGTGTTTTTTTAAAGTATTTTTTAAAGGTAAAATTTATAAGCGATCAGTTTTTTCTAAAGTATTCTATGAGCTTTGTGTAATGTCATTGGAAACCAATGGGTTTTATTTTTGATTTTATTTCTTTGGTGGTTTATTGTAGAAATTTGACCCAATAACTCTAAAGTTTATTTGAAAGAAAAGTATGTAAGTGAGGAATCCAGAAAGTGAAAAATTTTAGAGAAGAATTTTTGTACTGGAAGTTTAAGTGACTGATAAAATCACAGCAGTGAATGCAATATAGCACTGGCCCAGTGTTCTCTATGTAAAGGAAACATAAATTAACTTAGAGCATAACAAATTTAAGTTCTTAATAAAAGTATAATTTCATATCATTGGAAATCTGTGAATTATTCAATAAACAGTGAGCAATGATTTGGGAGTATTTAAATATAATACCATATATCTAACCTACCCCTTTCTCCAAATTAAATTTTAGATAAGTCAAAGATTGAAATATTTTTCTAAAAATAGGCAGAAATACATAAAAGGCAAAAAATCATGTATAAATGTTTGAATAAACATGGATTAGATGAAACACGGCAGAAAATTCAGACTCTATAAAAGAATGATAGTATTCTTAACCTTGCAAAAATATTTAATTTCTATATATATTTTCTCTCTCTCTTACCAATCTTATCAGATAAATCTTTTCCTTTCACAGTGACCATATTGTTTTCTTTCTAATTACATTTTTAAAGCACATGGTTACTTTCATTTACATAATAGTCAAAAATATAAGAAAGTAAAACTCTCTGAATCCCAATCTTCCTGAGAAAAAAAACACCAGCAGTACTTTGCAAGTTTTTCATATATATAACGATTTATGCATCTATAAGAACTTCTTTCTCACTTTCCCTTCAGCAGCACTGATTGTTGCTCTCCCTTTGCAGTTTATAATGGGTATAATCTTGTTATTTTAACTTGTATTTATCATATTTCTTAAAATATTAAGCATTTTTTCATACATTCATACACAGTTTGAATTGGCTTCCCTGTGAATTGCCTATTCTTATTCTTACCCATTTTTATTAAGGGCTTTTTTTGTTTTCAGTTTCAAGAGTTCTAGGTATAATAAAATATTAACATTTATTAATATGTGTATTTCAGATATTTTTCCCCAAACTCTCATTCATGCTATGACAAGTTTTTAATTTTTAAATTGTCCATGTACTTATTCTATTATACTCTGTATGTTTTCTGGAATAGCTGAATTCCTCTTGGAATGCTAGGTTAAGCATATGCTCTTCTAAATTTTTCTGAGACTTTTAAAATAGTTAATTTATTGTTTCATGTTTTGCATTTAATGCATCTTGAACGATGAGTTATTGTTAGTGCAAGAATGATCAACTTTATATTTTTCCAGAAGTAAAATGAGTAACACAAGCATCATTCACTTATTTTAGAACCTTTTCCCCAGTGGTTACATTTGGAGAGTGGGACGGGATGGTAGGGGCACTTCTGCTTTTCTCTTTATATCTTTCTAAAGTGTTTGTTTTTGTTTTTGTTTCATTTGTATAAATTTATGGGGCACAGATGCAATTTTGCTACATGCATACATTTAATAATGGTCGAGCCAGGGCTTTTGGGTTATCCATCACCCAAATAACATACACTGTACTCATATTGAGTAATTGTTACAACTAGTATATATCACTTTTAAAATACATAAGCGTGTGAGTGTGTGTCTGTGTGCATATTCTTGCCAGTATGATCTTTTCATTACGTTGTCATTTTTTTTCTCTCTCACGCACACACACACACCTGCCACACACATGCAAACTACACACAAATAAAATTCCTACTTTTTCCAATTTATATAGCCTTTAACTGGAGTAACACAAGATAATTACAACCCCATGTAAATAGCACATTAAACGTTTCTAGTGATTTCTAATGATTATCGCTGTCAAGTAAGAATGAAAGGGCTCACAGCTGTAATCCCAGCACTTTGGGAGCCCGAGGCAGGTGGATCACCTGAAGTTAGGAGTTCAAGACTAGCCTGGACAACGTGGTGAAACACTGTCTTTGCTAAAAATACAAAAATTAGCCAGGCATAATGGCAGGCACCTGTAATCCCAGCTACTCAGGAGGCTGAGGCAGGAGAATCGCTTGAACCCAGGAGATGGAGGTGGTTTTCTGTGAGCCAAGATTGCACCACTGCACTCCAGCCTGGGCAACAGAGTGAGACTCTATGTCAAAAAAGAAAGAAAGAATGAATGAATAAATAAGAGGGAGAAACAAAGAAAGAAAGGAAAAAAGACAAGGAAGAGAAAAAGGGGAAAGAAGTAAAGGAGGAAGGAAAGTAAAAATAAACAAAAAGAAAGAATAGTTAAGCCTGAACAGTAACTGCCCTGCCTTGGGTGTAGGCAAACCCATGCTGACCGCCTTTCTTGCAATGCTATCACCAGAGAGTCAAGATTCCAGTGACACATTTAGACAAAGTCACCTCTAATATTTTTTTTTTCCAATCTTGGATGTACCTATAGCAGTGTTGCTCATGGCTCTGCAGATATGGGTCTTCACGAAGACAAATTAATTATCTACCTCACTGCAGCAGACTGAGGTTCAGGAGTCTCAGGCTTCAGGTCTCAACTCTGAGGAGCCATATATGTGATATCAGAAATGTCAACCTCTGTCAAAAAATAAGGATGTGATCATCAAGATCTCATCCAGTAACCTCAAAATTACATAGCTCTAAGATACTCATTGTTTCCTTGTCTGCATTTCATCAGTCTCATTACCTCCTTTCAGTTAAACCTACTTTCATTTATTTCTACTACAAATGAGTGGTAATTAATGTACAATTTATATACACTTACAAAGAGTATACATCTTACTGTTATTTAAAACCTATTCGCTTTAACAAGTTTCCCTTTGGAAATATGAAAAATGTCTATGGAAAGAAATATTATAAAATAATTCCTCGTGTTAGCAACAATTTAATGTGCTTCGGATGTGATTTCTGTCCTAAAAATGATGCATCTATAAAGATTTATCGTATATTTCAAAATAGCAAGAAGACCTAAAATGTTCTTGACACAAGGAAATGATACATGTTTGAGGTGGTTGATTTCTCTGACTTGATAATTACACATTGTATGTACCAAGATATCACATGTACACCATAAATATGTATAATTACTATGTATCTATAACAAATAATAATTTAAAAATCCATAAAAAGATGCTTCTTACACTGGATAAATTAGAATGCAAATTATATATTTTCTAAGTTGTAAAGTAATAAATAACCAAGCAGTCAGGCACATTAGATTATAATAATAATGGGTCCTGATATCATTTTCATTTATCTCAATAATCACTAGATATACAGAAGGTAGATATAATCCCCATTTTATAGATGAGAAAATGAAAAAAGACACCTAGGAAGTCATTGATGAAACATGCTCCCAGGACCAAAGCCCTTGAATCTTCCTGCCATGTATTTTATTAATGCAGTCAGTTTCTCTCTAAATCGCACCTGATTCAGTGAACCTGGACATCTCCTGCCCTGCAAAGAGTGAAAGACTTAACTATGACTAATTTTCTTTCAATTGGGTTTCTTCCAAGCATAAGAATCACAATCAATAAGTTAAATTTTGTAAACATATTTATTCTGTCAGAATACCTAGCTCAGCACTAAACCAAATATAATAAATCACTTAAAAGTTTATATGTAATGCCATGTGGTTTTTTCAAAGCATGCAGTAATATTTTGCCTATTTTTATGCTCAATTTTTATTCTAGAATTTGAAACACAACAATACTAACATACTTCTACCATATTACTAGATCACTACCAGAAGCCAAATCCACCTCTAGTGGATTATTAACATAGCCTTTAAGGAAAAATGTGCCATAGTTTTCAATCTTAAGACAAAGATTACCTTTTTAAAGCCCCCCAAAGTTAGTATGAGACTTACATATATTATTAACATTTAATTTATTTCGTTCTTTCCTTTTTTATCAGTCAATATATCGATAGCAGATCCTAGGAAATTCTGGTATCATGAAAGTAGTTCTCACTGGGAAAATTCTGGAAAGATTATGGACTATTTATTGAAAGAAAAGGAAGGAAGGAAGGAGGGAGGGAAAGAACAAAGGGAGGAAGGAAGGGAGATGGCAGAAAGAGGGGGGAGAGAGAAAGAGAGAGAGAGAAACTGTTTTCCATGAACAGCTTTGGGAATCAAGGGCTGGCATTAATTTTTTATTACCATTTTATTATTATATTCAATTATTTTGTCAAAATAAAACAAGTACAATACCTCCAGCAAGTCTTGTGCTCCTATAGAAATTAGGAACTTTTTATGGCCTCTGCTGAGAAGAGGTTTGCAGGATTACTTGATGCTTACTTAGTTTTGGCAAAGGGCACCTAGGGAGACATAACAAAAATGGACCTGACATAATCCTGAAATCTCCCTCAGCAATAAACAAGCTGTCTCTTTGCCTCTCAACACTTCTGCTAGCTTCTACTGCAGAAAATTTCTGGAAGTTGGACCGGTTTCAAGGGCACTAAAGCAGGCATGCTGCCTTGAGTCAGAGGGTACCTACTGTGGCTCCCTAAAGAGGGTTCAGGTTAAGCATCTATGAGTCATGAGAGGGCAAGCCTGCTAACCCCAGCTGCCACCTTGAAAGCACACTGTAATAGTGAGTCCTCACATGTGACAGAGGATTTCAGATTTCCTTAGCCCGTGATCCAGGATTGTTGACTTCAGTTGTTTAGTGGAAAATGTTGGTCTCTGAAGCCACAGACATGGGCTGCATTCCCGTGAGAGCCTTTCAGCTTCACATTGCTACCCTGATGCAGCCAGCTGCAGTATAACACGAAACTTTTCTCACAAAGTTTGGGAGGCACATCACCAATGTGTTGATCAGCAAATATTTATTAAACTAATCCTCTTGGAGACCAAGCCAACAGTTAAGAGCACGGGCAGTCCTGAACATAATCAAACCTACTCGATTATAGATTGGAGAAAGCCCAGAATCCAAGCCCCAAGACTGTCCCTTAATCACTATGTGAGGATAGGAAAGCGCTCAGAGCACCAGTTCCCTCATTTGTAAAATGGGGCTTACAGTCCCACCCTGGAAACATGTCTTAAGGATCACATGAAGAAGCACAGGGGAAGTGCTTGGAACAGCAGCTGCCATTTGGAAGGTGGTAACTTTGAAGTTGATATCTACCAGGAAAGTGATCACAAGGGCAGAACTCTGACTTTTCCCATTTTCCTAAGATCTATTTCTAAATTCAGTAGCATTGGCTCTCTCAGTCTAACGGCAGTCAGTCCACTGTCTCGGTGGTGGTGTTTTTTGAATCATTAATCAGAATGAATAGTCTATGGTACAGATAATACATGCTGCTGAGTTTCAGAGGACGGAGGTGTTTTCTTCAGATGCATGTTGAGGAAAAGATTCACACAGTAAAAGGTACATTCCATCTGAAAAAAACGTAGTGGGGAGGGGCGCAAAGAGCTGCTCAGTCCAACCAGAATGTATGTGTCTACCATAGAATTACAGTAATTTAACCCTGGAAAGAGGTTTAAAGGATTCTATCATTTTGTAAATGAAAAGACTGATACCTAGAGGAGGGAGTTACTAGTCTAAGGTCACAGAGCAGTTATATAACAAACACGAGACTCTATTCCAGGCCTCCAGTATCGCGGGCTCATTCTGCAGCACTGCTTCTCATTCCTTGACTTCACAGGACATAACAGCTTGACCTGCATCCTTCCTCAGTCCCTGGCATTGTTCCAACAAAGCTGATCTGAGAAATGCTAGCACAAAGGAAACCATTCCGGTGCAGTAGAAAAGGTTCTATCCCTTCTCCTACCCACAGTGTAAAATCGAGCAAGCCACTTCCACTATCTGGACTGCTAATGATGTCTTTCAGAAGCTAGTGTTTACCAAGAGCTTACATAAAGCCAGGAGCTGCTCTGGTTGAGTTATCTCTTATCGTCCACTGCCCCATAACAGCACTTTATAGAGAGGTTCATTCTCAGACTGTAACATCAGAATCAACAATCTAAGAATGTAAAGTCCCTCATCCCTGGATTTGCTGAATCAGAATTTCTGTTTGCCTAATAATACAAATTTCGGCAAATTTCCAAAACGACTCGATGCTCACAAAACTTTAAATCTTGCTGGTTCACTAGGTGATATATTCTCAGTTTTACTGATGTGCTCTAATTTTACTAACGTGAAAAAGTTGAGGCCCAGAGAAAAGTAACGTATTCATTCACACAGCTAGTTAGTGGCAAACCTGGGATTTGAATCCAGGTATTTTTTGTTTTGTTTTGAGAGTTTTCAATATTTGACCCAGAATCTAGCTGAGATTTTATTCTTTGGCAAAGCATCAGATTATCAGCTGGGGTTGACCTTCCTTCTTACCTTTCTAAATTTATAATTTTCTTAATTTCCCAACTCAACTTGCAGCTTATGTTTTATAAAGTTAGCAACTTTCACTGTCTGCCGTCATCTTCAGATCTCAGAGCTAAGGGTAATTTGGTGTTAGAATGAAAGAGAGAGATATTTGACAAGGCTGTGTCAAATTAACAAGAATTCTAACAAGGGAGTTGAGGAGTGAGAGCGGATGGTGCATTTGACGAATACTCACTGGGGTAATTCACTGTGTAATTGGCCAAATGCACAGAAGCCATCAGACTGCAGCTGCACAAGGCATCCCTGGGTGAGGTGAATTCATAGTTCCCTCTACATCTTAGACTCCCCTGAGGGTTTAGTCAGTACCTTGGTTGAGATTGATTTAGCATTCTGAAAGGGGAGCACACACACACACACACACACACACAAAACATTACTGATTAACTCTTCTACCCTTTACCAAATAGATGAAGACCATTTAGCAGACTTGGAGAGGTAACCAAGGTTCTTGGAAAATTCTTCCCTGTAACACCTGTTTTATAAATCCTATAGTCATTGACTTTTATAACTTTAAGGGATCTAAGATATTATCTAGCCCCGTGCTTCTTCATCTTTAACATGCATAAAAATGACCTAGGGATCTTATGAAAATGCAGATTCTTATTCAGTAGGTCTAGGGTAAGGCTTGAGATTCTGCATTTTTAAAAAACTTCCCAGAGATGCCAAAGCAGCTGATCTGTGGACTAAATTAAATAGCAAAGATCCATCCTAGGAAATGTAAATGAGTTATACCTGAAGTACCAACTCAGAATATCTCTTGGTTGCTGCCTTGAGAACTACACTGAGGATTCTGTAGTTGAGTCTGAGACCAGCTGGTCAATTAGCAGTGCCTAACACAGGTTTAAGAACAGGAAACCTACCTGAAGATACTCTTTCACTTTTACGTACAGAAATTGAAACCCAGAAATTTCAGTGACTTGCTCAGGGTCACATAACCAAGTTAGTGGTAGAACTAGGACTAAATAAAGCTGGAATATAAATCTAGATTTCTCTATCTGAGTTGCACATTTGAATCACAGATTGCGTGTGAAGCTGTTTTAAAATATCTTTCTTCAGTTCTATTATTGGCAGCCATAGAATCCAATTTGAATTCAAGAAGCCAGGGTTACTCAGCCTAGCTAAGTCTCTGAAAAGCTCTGCAACTTTGTGGAAAAATATTTCTCAGGACCTTTAGTTTTATTATCCATGAGATGAGGAAGTCCATGCCTGGTATGTCAAATATATTCTAATGGTGTAGATGGCAAGGAGATCAAAGATATGAAAGCAGTTAGACAAAACCTAGGGGACTTACATGAGGGCATTTTTGTTAAAATTGCTTTAGGATAACGGCCAGGCGTGGTGGCTCATACCTGTAATCCCAGCACTTTGGGAGGCCGAGGCGGGCAGATCACGAGGTGAGGAGATCGAGACCATCTTGGCTAACACGGTGAAACCCCGTCTCTACTAAAAATACAAAAAATTAGCCGGGCGTGGTGGTGGACGCCTGTAATCCCAGCTACTGGAGGCTGAGGCAGGAGAACGGCGTGAACTTGGGAGGTGGAGCTTGCAGTGAGCCGAGATTGCGCCACTGCACTCCAGCCTGGGCGACAGAGCGAGACTCCATCTCAAAAAAAAAAAAAAAATGCTGTAGCATAACTTTAAACTTTCTTTGAAGTTTTTTATTTTTTGAAAAAGATATTAAAAAATCTGTGTGTGTGTGTGTGTGTGTGCGCGCGTGCGCGTGCGTGTGCATGTGTGTGTACACGAAAGAAACCATGCCATCGTCCTAGGTTGAATTTTAACTGAAATGATTGCAATTTTGAGTTTGTGATAATGAGGCTTTTCTGATTTTCCACTCATCTTTAATGTATCTGGCCTATGAAAAATCATGCATAGGCATGGGAAGAAAGAGAGAGAGAGAAACAAGCAAGCCAGCCAGAAATCTTGGTAATGATTTCTTGTTCTGAGATAAGGTGGCTTCCAGTAGCAACAAGGCTTCATGTTTCTCCATTCATATCTAAGAGAGATGGAGATTTATTTTTATACAAAGGCTTCAAGAAAACTTTCCTTTCATTTCTCTATTTTTTAACTTCTATTTTAAGTTCAGGGGTACACGTGCAGGTTTGTTTCATAGGTAAGCTTGTGTCATGGGGGTTTGTTGTACAGATTATTTGATCACTCAGGTATTAAGCCTAGTACCCATTAGTTTTTTCCTGATCCTCTCCCTTCTCCCACCCTCCATCCTCTAGAAGGCCCTAGTGTGTGTTGTTCCCCTCAATGTGACCATGTGTTCTCATTATTTAGCTACCACTTATAAATGAGAACATGTAGCATTTGATTTTCTGTTCTTGCATTAGTTTGCTAAGGATAATGGCCTCCAGCTCCATCCATGTCCCTGCAAAGGATGTAACGTTTTTCTTTTTTATAGCTGCATAGTATTCCAGAGTATATATGTACCACTTTTTTAAAAAATTTAGGGCCAGGCGCGGTGGCTCAAGCCTGTAATCCCAGCACTTTGGGAGGCCGAGATGGGCAGATCACGAGGTCAGGAGATCGAGACCATCCTGGCTAACACGGTGAAACCCCGTCTCTACTAAAAATACAAAAAAATTAGTTGGGCATAGTGGCGGGCGCCTGTAGTCCTAGCTACTCAGGAGGCTGAGGCAGGAGAATGGCATGAACCTGGGAGGCGGAGCTTGCAGTGAGCCGAGATCACGCCACTGCACTCCAGCCTGAGCAACAGAGCGAGACTCCATCTCAAAAAAAAAAAAAAAATTTAGTCTATCACTGATGGGCATTTAGGTTGATTTCATGTCTTTGCTATTGTGAATAGTGCTACAATTAACATGCATGTGCATGTGTCTTTATAATATAAAAAATTACACTCATTTGGGTATATACCCAGTAATAGGATTGCTGGGTCAAGTGATATTTCTGTCTTTAGGTCTCTGGGAAATCGCCACACTGTCTCCCACAATGGTTGAACTAATTTACACTCCTTTCAACAGTGTATAAGCATCCCTTTTTCTCCACAACTTCATCAGCATTTGTTGTTTTTTGACTTTTTAATAATAACCATTCTGACTGGTGTGAGATGGTATCTCATTGTGGTTTTGATTTGCATTTCTCCAATAATCAGTGATGTAAAGCTTTTTTTCATATGATTATTGGCCATATGTGTGTCTTCTTTTGAAAAGTGTCTGTTCGTGTACTTTGTCCACTTTTTGATAGAGTTGTTTATTTTTGTCTTGTAAATTTGCTTAAGTTTCTTATAGATGCTGGATATTAAACCCTTGCCAGATGCATTGTTTGCAAAAATGTTCTCTCATTCTGTAAGTTGTTTACTCTGTTGATAGTTTTGTTTGCCGTGCAGGAGCTCTTTAGTTTAATCACACCTCATTTGTCAATCTTTCTGTTGTTGTTACTGCTTTTGGTGTCTTCATCATGAAGTCTTTGACTGTGTCTATGTCCTGAATTGTATTGCCTAGGTTGTTTTCTGGGTTTTTATCATTTTAGGTTTTACATTTAAGTCTTTAATCTGTCTTGAGTTAATTTTTGTACATAGTGTAAGGAAGGTGTTCAGTTTCAATCATCTGCATATGGCTAGCCAGTTATCCTAGCAACATTTATTGAATAGGATTCCTTTCCCCATTGCTTGTTTTTGTCAGGTTTGTAGAAGATCAGATAGTTGTAGATGTGTGGTCTTATTTCTGGGTCCTCTATTCTGCTCCATTGGTATATGTGTCTGTTCTTGTACCAGTACCATGCTGTTTTGATTACTGTAGCCCTACAGCATAATTTGAAGTCGGGTAGAGTGATGCCTCCAGCTTTGTCCTTTTTGCTTATGATTGCCTTGGCTATTTGGGCTCCTTTTTGGTACTTTAGGAATTTGGTTCTATATGGATAGTTTTTTCTAGTTCTGAGAAGAATATCCATGATAGTTTAATATGCATAGTATTGAATCTGTAAGTTGCTTATGGGCAGTATGGCCATTTTAATGATATTGATTCTTCCTATCCATTAGCATGGAATGTTTTTCTCTTTTCATTTCATTGGCTCAATTGATGTAGTCCTTCCCATTCCTGAACCAATCTTTGGCAAGGGAGGGGAGGTACCAAGACTGACTTAAAACAATCAGGCCTACACCTAAACAGGGGGTCAGTCTCAACTATTGTCACAATGGATGGGATTGATTTAACTACAACATCCACTGTGAGAAGCTAGAGAGAAAATATAAAGAATTAGTCAGCTGGGCATGGTGGCTCACGCCTGTAATCCCAGCACTTTGTGAGGCCGAGGCGGGCAGATCACGAGGTCAGGAGATCGAGACCATCCTGGCCAACATGGTGAAACCCCATCTCTACTAAAAATACAAAAAAAAATTAGCCGGGTGTGGTGGTGGGCGCCTGTAGTCCCAGCTACTCAGGAGGCTGAGGCAGGAGAATGGCATGAACCCAGGAGGCGGAGCTTGCAGTGAGCCAAGATTGCTCCACTGCACTCCAGCCTGGGCAACAGAGCGAGACTCGGTCAAAAAAAAAAAAAAAGAATTAGTCTTATCTGCCTATATAAATCAATGAATTTATATATTCTCTCTCAGGTAGAGAAGTTTAAAGTTGCAAGTATCCATAGCAATGGGTACCTTTTGTTACACGTCTAACAAAACATCTAACACCTACCCCCATGTATGTCAGACATGAGGGTAGGCTCCATAACTATCTTATCTCACCAAAAAGAATATGATTTTTTTCTCAGTCTTAAAACATCCCTACAAATACCATTGCTCATTTTAAGATTAGGTCATAGAACTTCATTTGAAAGATGAAGAAACGAAGGCTCAACTAAGCAATGGAACATGCCCAAGCTCACATAGCTAATCAGCAGAGGAGCTAGCATTCAAAGCTGATTCCAAACCTCATGTCCTCAACACTTAAGAAACTGTATAAATGGTCTTATCTACACTGGAATTCAGGATGCTACTTTCAAAAGACCATCTACAAAATGTGATTTTATATTATTATTTCAGCAGATATTTATTGAGTCCTTACCAAATATGTGCCTTGCCCTCGCAGTGACCACATTCTAATGTGAAGACAGAGGTTAAACAAATTCCTTTAGAAGTAATATATAATTATAAATGGAAATAAGAGCAGTGAAGGAAGTGCCTACATTGCTATAATGGGGCGCCTGATCAGGTAAGGGAAGATCAGGAAAGACTTCCTCATGAAAAAAGAATTTGAACTGAGGTCTGAAAGATGGGAGCTGTGTAGTGGTGAGGAAGGAGGAAGAAGGATCATCCTCCTCTCAATTATATGATGCAGCAAATATTAGAAATCCCTTGGTTCTATTCAAACAGCTGCACATCATTTAGCATCAACCATGCGCTAGTAAGAATTTGACTTTAGCTTATAAATGCTTTTTGCAGTTAGTTATTTGCCATACATATTTGTTATAAAGACATTTGTTCCATAATCACACTCCCCTTAGCATTAGGTATTTGGCTTTTGCTGGACACAGTGCGCACAGGCTTACCAGCATACACTGAGTTATTTTGATGACATCATGTTTTATTAATTAGTGCTGAGTCAGTTCCCTTCAGTGCTTCTAATTTTTTTAAGCACAGCTACTAGATCCAATGCTAGTTGAGCATTAAACGTGTGTCAAAACTTTTTCTCACAGGATTCAGTAATCCATGAGATTCCATGTACCCTCCCCATCCAACTCATCTCAGTTCAAGATCTCTGTTTTGGCACTACCCTCATGCCCCCTGCTATTCAAGAACCAAATGTAACTCGGAATCTGTAGAAGCGAAGTCCACTGGCTGTGTTCCCCACACACCTATGAAAAAGAAGGCTGCTGCTTCTCTGTTAACCTTTTGTTCTGTGTTCACTGGGAGTCCTGCCATAAGGTTTGCATTAGGTCAGCTTTCTGGCTTCTTGGACAAATAAATAAAAAACAAGAGGAGGTAGGAGTAGGAATATATGGAAAAAAATATCTCTATACATCTGAGTAGAAATTTTTATAGTCCAGATGGGGTTTGTGAAGTCTCTGAGCTTAGAAATTCTTTTTCAGTCAATATCTTCCAGGGAGAAAAAGTTGTCAGATTTTTAGAAGGATTCAAACATTAGTGCCTTGCCTCAGGGCGACAGAAACCAAACCTTGGCTTCTCTGCTTCCAACAGAAAACTAGAGGCAGGTTATAATTTCCCTCTTGCCTGGAACTGAGGCAGTGACTGGTTTTGTATGTCCAAACCCATCCTCATTACTTTTTGAGACAAGATTGACGTCAGTTTCAAAACCCATGAACAAGAGAGAACCATGAGTCCTCCAACGACCTGGGAAGATTTGGATGACAACCTTTAAGTCAGTCATGACCTGTCAGTAAATCTTGAAACTTAACATGATCCACTTTCACATTTACTACTCACTGTCAGAGATTTTGGAAGATTATAAAGGGGAAAGGAGTATGGCTGTCAGCCACCCCTTTTCCCTCTTAGTGATGTGCACTGTCATCATCATTGACAATATGTATAATCCCAGGGAAAAAAACATAGCTCCTTTTCTCCTAACATTTGGCTCTTCTCCCCACTGCCTTTACTCCTGTGCATTAGAAATGGTTGACTGACTGGACTGTCTCCAGTCTTGTGGAAAGAAACCAAAACAAATGTCCTCTGTGGTGTTATTTAAAAGTGGATTGGGATACTTTGAATTACTAGGTAAATGGTGTGTACAAAAATCTTTAGCAAGTCATCACCCATAATGCTTTTGAGTTGTGTGAACCAGCTAATGAAAAGATTAGATCAGTTATCTCTCTCCAGGTTGGGAGTTGAGTCAATAAGCTAGATGAAAATTAAACTAGAACAAGCCTTCACCTGTCAGGATGTAAGCTCACAGGTGTTAAAACTTCTTTGAGTTATCAGGATTGGGTAGGCAGATTCTCATTCCTACCTCCCTGAAACTTGTCAAAAATAGGATTTGGAGCTTATGTAAGCTCATTGCAAAACTTAACTTCATTCTGCACTTCCTGAGGGTTCATAATAATTTGAAGCCAATGCCTTCTTTGAATGAAAGAAATGTCTATTAAAATTGATATATCGGCCGGGCGTGGTGGCTCACGCCTGTAGTCCCAGCACTTTGGGAGGCCGAGGTGGGTGGATCATGAGGTCAGGAGATCGAGACCATCCTGGCTAACAGGGTGAAACCCCGTCTCTACTAAAAATACAAAAAATTAGCCGGGCGCGGTGGCGGGCGCCTGTAGTCCCAGCTACTCGGGAGGCTGAGGCAGGAGAATGGCGTGAACCCGGGAAGCGGAGCTTGCAGTGAGCCGAGATTGCGCCACTGCAGTCCGCAGTCCGGCCTGGGCGACAGAGCGAGACTCCGTCTCAAAAAAAAAAAAAAAAAAAAAAAAAATTGATATATCATAAATATAGTTTTCTTCCCCTTTTCCTTCTTCAGGTGTTTTCAATCTGATCCCAATCTTTTTCCCCATACAACGAAAATGAATCCCTACTTTCAACCTTAATTGAAACTAGTAGCCTGTACTTTATAATAAGAGGCACCCAGAAATAATTCTAGCCTTCTAAAAGAAATTATTCAATTCATCATGCATTTTATTAAATGTGCTTTAATAATATTAAATGTAACAATTCGAATGTACTGTTCTCTCCCCAAAATTTAACATTCATCTTCCTATCTCAACCTGAATATTATTCTTTAAAAAAAAAAACAAATCAGTGATCTATAGTTTATTTACCATTCTTAATGAATTCCACATAAATTAACAGATATATAGAAAGGAACCATTTTCCAAAAGAAATGAATTTGATGCTGTGAGAGTAAAAGAAATGGAAGATACCAAGCCACAAAAAATTAAGCAGGCTCCTCAAGAATTTCTAATCCAAAGGGTTACTAGAGAAGTTGCCACAGCAAGGCCTACACAGTGTGGAAAAGAAATACTAGCACTGGGTCAAGATCACAGCAAGGAAGCTACAAGACTATGGGATTTTTGCCAGGCAAATTTTTCTTAACCTTCATCCCTCTGTTATGCCATACATGTTTTAAAGGCAGTAGGTAATTCTATATTAAATGGAAGTGGAAGGCAAATTTTTAATAAATTAAATTGAAAAGGAATTTGATGCAGCAGCCTGTGGGCTAAACCCTTAGACCAAGATGTGATTTGGGCCACTATAATATTTAAAGTTTGGAATTTAAATGTCCTTCAGAAGGGCTTTTGTGTTTTAGTCTAGTTCATTGCAGGATGAACTTTTCCCTAATCTCCACTACACCTGCTTCACGTTCTTATATGACCTCCCTAGCCTTATTTGAAAGTGTGATCCCAGACTTACTCTAGCCCTCTCAGTAATTCAATTTAGTAAGTATTGTTTGGAATACTTACTTTGTACCAACGGTAATGGTCAGCTTTAGGGATACTTAAGCAACAAGACACAGTCCCTGCCCACATGTTTCCCATCATAAAGGAAACACGAATTTGTTGAACTTATAGTTAGAGGATTGAAACTGGGGGAGGGAGTTAGCAGAAGATTCCACAAGGCCATCTAAATAAAGAACACTGAGGGCCAGAGACAGTAACATGGGATTAGAACCTGCGCTCATCTCTGAGGTTAGTGTTATTTTCATTCTGTTTGTGGGCTTTGAGAGGGGCAGGAACCCCTTTGAGAAGGACCATAAGGCAAAGGGGTGTCAGTTCTCTTGGCAGCTCATGCTTTCGAAGGTCTTCTCACCACCTTGCAATTAATACAGATTAATTAATTAACTGTATCTTCTGGGATCTTTTGAAGAGTAAAATCTTACTCTTCTCTTTGTACTCCACATATCTGCCTCTTACTTCCTGCAAAACCATCATCACTTGAAACAGCAGTGTAAAGCTATACATGTTCACTTGATTTACCCACTTGATCAGATTAATTATTTTGTGTCAGAAGTAGAAGATGACATAGGTCCCCGATCCATAAAGAATGAATTCATTAATTTGATTCTTTAACAAAGGTTTTGTTTACTAAGGAAACGTGAAGATAGGCATTCAGGTGGCTTACTCATTACAATTTAAAATTTAAGAATCAAAACAACAACAACTAGATAGCATCATATCTTAGAGCCAACAGCGTCCACTTCATAAGTATCTTTTCGTTATATATTGAAAACAATTAGTAGAAAAAGCATAGGTTTGAATCCATAAACATAAGTTTAAATTATTGTTTTACAACTTACCTAGCTTCGAACAAGCCATGAATTTCTGTGTTTTGATGGGAAGGGCTGTTATAAAATGCTGGTAGTACTAACTCCATTCTCATAGTCTGGCTGTAAGATTTAACTTTATCATTGCATAATAGAAGTTAAAAAGGCAGAGTAAAAAGAATTCTCACTCTTTTATTCCTACCATTTTTTATTAAAAATTACTTTCATAAAACTACCTGGGTATTTTAGCAGTATTTCCTGTTTACTTTCCAGTTCCAAACTCCCAATTTTTGTTGGTATTGCTCCATTTTCTTCAGCACAGAGATTTGAAGAGTCAAAGATGTTGGCCCTCCCTTGCTCTCATAGAATTTGCATTTCATATTCTGATTGAGTGAACTTTCTTTGACCTCTTAAAACACTAAGTGCATGGTAGGTAGTCTCAGAGTGCTATTTTTGGAAAGAGCGCTTTGGATATTCCCAGGGGATTAACAGTCCATTGCTTAAGCATTTCAAGTCACTTGGGTCACAGTGCCATTTCATGGAAGATAAAACACCATCTCCTCTACCCACACACAAGTCACAGTAACTGGAAATTTCACAGTTAGGATTTCTTGGATTTTTACAATTTCTCACTCTTCTCTTGATGATATGACTGGTGAACTTGGATTTCAGATAGTCCCATTTCCCCTTTGCAAGGTAAGCCTGTGATGTTGTTAGGTTATTGAGGGATTTGAGTTGTTTTTCTGTATATGACTATAGACTATCACAAGGACATCTCTCCAGAGTATATTCCTACCATGAAGAAAGTTGCAGGAAGGGAAGCAGCAAGCCTAAACCAAACTTGGAATTAACTGATTATTATATAAAAATAAGGTCCCCTCTTCAGGGTTTAATACAATATATTTTAAATAAAATGGAACTCTGTTAACCAAGCCTGTTTCTTTTCTTGTCATGAAAAATGTTAGGATAGACACAGAAAGAGGGGAAAGGAAACTTCTTAATCCAAAACATTTAACATGATGGTTGTTAGAACCATCATCACATGGGTCAGTCTGGAAAATAATTCAAGTCCGCAGTGAAGTCCATTTTTCAACCAACAGAACAGCTGATTCAGTTGCTATACAAACTGCCCTCATTCACAGAGGATCATCTGGAGAAGGCTCTGGAATGTTAGTGCAAATAAATCAGTCCATCTTAAAATTTCAGCACTTGTTTCTTGATTGATAAGCACAATAATTCCAGATAAAGCATGATTTCCAGAATAGATAGTTGAATTGGAAGCAGGAGACTTCTTTGTTGGCATCGGCATGCTTGATAGAGCCTCTCCAAAAAACCTTGTCAGGAATGGACTTGGGATTTAAAGCTGGACTGGGAAGCAGGAGACTTCTTTGTTGGCATTGGCATGCTTAATAGAGCCTCTCCAAAAAACCTTGTCAGGAATGGACTTGGGAGTTAAAGCTGGACTAGAAAGCAGATGGTAAGGAGCCTTGTACTGAAGCAAGGCCTGCAGCATAGGTCCTTGTAAAGGCAATTTATCTGCAGAGAATAGCAGTTTATTCACCAGTCTACCTCTTCCCTCCCTCTCGTTTCATTTACTTTTGCTTCTTCCTCCCTCTTGTTTCAACTACTAACAACAAAATTCCCATGGCCCCTTGAATAGGCAAAAATGCCAAGACAGAAAAATTTGATAAATATTTTTCTATGTTTTCCAGGGCAATAGAGATTGCCACATGGTCCTTCTGATTGGTTAAAGGGAAATTGTCTTTCTTTAATGTCCTAATCGAAAAAAAAAAAGAAAGAAAGAAAGTTTAGTGGTTTCTCTTGTGTCTGCACTGCTCAAGTGAAGAGAAAGATAATCAGGAAATCCATTTGGGCAAGTCTAAAAGGGCTGGTGTGGAAACTCGATTTTAAGGATTAGCTAAATTCATGTGACCATTATTATGTCTTCCATTTGCTAAAATTGAGTCCCCTAAATATAGCCTGGTACAGAGAAGGCACACCAAGACAGAACTCGTAATTGAGGAGAGTTTTGAGAATGCAGTTGTATAGTTTGGTAATTGGGAACAGAAACCTTGGAACAAACAGGTTAAATGCCAGCTCCATTGCTTACTGTGTAACTCCGGGCCAATTGCTAACTATCCCTAATTCTCAATTTCCTCATTTTTAGAATTGGAATATTAATAATCCTGTTTATAGGGCTTTCAAGATCAACATTAAATAGGATAGTTGTGTAAAACCTTTAATGCAATGCCTGCCTCCAGTAAATACTCAATAAATGGAAGCTGCATATGTTGTTCTCTGTCTATGAAAGCTGTTTTTCAGCTTGGTGGTGTGGACTGTGGTCAGTCTCCAGCTTGTGTATTACTTCTCTGGCCTCTGCTACTCCTTTATTTGAAGTCGTTCTGTCCAATAGACTAGCAGTTTTCCAAGTGTGGACACCAAGCCAGCATCCCAGCATCACCTGGGAACTTGTTAGAAATGCAGATTACTGAGATTCATTCCAGATTTACTCACTTAGGAGTCCTGGGAGTGGAGACCAGACCTGTTTTAACAAGGCCTCCAGAGTAGTCTGATATGCATTCAAGTGTGGGAAGCACTGAAATAGACTATCCCTCACCAAACCACTACCTGAGTCAGGTTTCCCTGGTTGATTTTAAGACAGGCTAGAGGCAACATGGAATATTACTGGATTAAGATAAACATCAACAACCCAGAATTGTTAAAATGTTCTATGACTTATTTGTCATAAGATTTTGGGTAATTCAGTTCATTTTTCTGAACTTCAGTTTCCTGCCCTGTCAAATGGGAATGTATCCTGTTCTGCTGCTGTTCTGCTGTGGTGTAGTAGGCCTCCAAAAAAGTAAAAATTAAAAATAGAAAGTACCTTATGAAAACAGATATTTCAAAGGAGAAAAAGGAATGATAATTGCTATTGAATTTAACATCTAGATTTGTAAAGTCATTTTTTCTTTTATATAAACAGTAAAAGAGATTAAAATTCAATAAACTTACGGGTAGTTTACGTGCAGGCTTTCTCCACTTTTACCCTTTAAAACACATGTAAAAGGTCCTGTCAATCTCCTATACTTTTGCTCTTGACCTTGTAATTTTGCTCCCAACACATCTCACACCTTGTGAAGTGAAAAGAAGAACAATAAACAAGACAAGGAAAAGAAAGGGAAATGATGCCAGTTTAGCAGTCAGCCACTAAAATTTAGCAGCACCTATGTTCTTTAGGTCCTAGCCTAAAATATTGAAACCCAACACTGTTCTGCATACTGAAGATGGTATTATTGTAATAGATTTTCCTAGTTATAAGAAAATTTGAGTTTTGCAAATTTTTGTTATAAATTAAATGCCTCTAATTTCCATCCTGCCCTACCTATACTGTCTTATAGAGTTGTTGAGATCTTTAAATGAGATGAATTAAATGAGATCTTTAAATGAGATGAATCTGTTAGGATTCTTTGGAATGCAAATAACAGAAAAACAAAGTAATACTGGCTTAAGAAAGAAAGAGAGAAGGGAGCAGGTGAGAAAGAGGAATAAGAAGGAGGAAGAGGAGGAAGAGGGAAAGAGGGAGAGAAAGAAAGAGGAAGGGACAGGGGAAGGAAGGAAGATAATATACTGTCTTGCTTAGCATCAGCAAGTCAGATATGTCCAGATATAGACACAAGGCACCATTAGATCACAGACTCTTCATTTTAGTGTTGGCTTCTTTCCAAATTAGCATCTCCTCTTACAGTTGAACCATCTCAGCAGATTCTGTTGATTTGGGGCCACTCACTTCTAGGTGCAGATCCAGGGAGAAAATTTGAGAGTCTACTCTGCTATTCCCATCTGAAGACTCACGGCATGCCATTGGCTCAGAAAAGGCATGAGCCCAACGCTGAGTCAATTATGGTGTCAGAATGGCTCTGATTGGCCTACACCCACAGCAGAGACATAGTAACTGAGAATGGGGAAGTGGTGGTTTCCCATACAGAAATGGGAGTGCGTGGTGCTTGATGAACAGGCAAAGCACAGATGTCTATTCTCTTTACTTGCAAGTGCTGCAGTTAGCAGGACTCTGAAATTTAGTGACATATTTAACTGTAGACATTCTTATCCATCCTTCATTAAGGAAAATTTTGCAAGCCTACCCTGCCCCTCCAGTTGACTGCCCCTACCATGCACTGAGAGTGCCTTATTTTATGAGCCATGGAATGCTGCAGGGATTATCTGGGTGGCTGCCATGCCTCAGTATGAAAAAGCATAAAAATAGCCAGTTCTCCTTCTTGCTCTGCCACCTATTCAGTACATAAACTTGTATTAAGTGTCTTAACCTCTCTGTGTCTTATTTTCCACACATGAGATCAGTGCCTGCCCCACAGGGATACTGGGATAACTGAAAGAGGTCAATATGTAAAATGGTTAGTTATGGCTTCTAATTGTACTCACAAAGTTCCTTTCTCTAGGGTTAAAAAGGGGCATCTGATATGGAAGTAGCACTATGGAAAATAACAGTTTACAGATCTCAGGTACTTGAGCATGCTGCTCTAGCAAGAGACCTGTATAAATAAAGGCAGAAGCCTTAGAGCAGGGAAGAAACTCAAGAGGTGGTCCCAGAAGTTCCAGTCTTTAGGCTGGTGTTGCAAAGTTAAACCCATCTTATTGATGACTCACAAAGAGGTGAAGTGAGTTACTAAGAGTTCACAAAATTAATTCCATTAATAAATATTTACTTATTGAGCATCTGCTATGTGCCAGGTGCCATGCCAGAAGTTTGGGAATGGAATAATGAGTGAGACAGATTTTGTGTCTCTCTTCATCAAGAAGTATAGTATGGTGGGGAAGACAGAAATAAAGTAAATAATATAGGCACGGGCAAAGATTTCATGATTAAAATGCCAAAAGTAATGGCAACAAAAGCCAAAATTGACAAATGGGATCTAATTAAACTAAAGAGCTTCTGCACAGCAAAAGAAATGATCATCAGAGTGAACAGGCAACCTACAGAATGGGAGAAAGTGTTTGGAATCTATTCATCTGACAATGGGCTAATATCCAGAATCTATAAGGAACTTAAACAAATTAACAAGAGAAAAACAACCCCATCAAAATGTGGATGAAGGATATGAACAGACGCTTCCCAAAAGAAGACATTTATGTGGCCAACAAACGTGAAAAAAAGCTCATCATCACTGGTCATTAGAGAAATGCAAATCAAAACCACAATGAGATACCATCTCAGGCCAGTTAGAATGGCAATCATTAAAAAGTCAGGAAACAACAGATGCTGGAGAGGATGTGGAGAAATAGGAACACTTTTACACTGTTAGTGGGAGTGTAAATTAGTTCAACCATTGTGGAAGACAGTGTGGCGATTCCTAAAAGACCTAGAACCAGAAATACCGCTTGACCCAGCAATCCCATTACCGAGTATATACTCAAAAGAATATAAATCATTCTACTATAAAGACACATGCACACATATGTTTATTGCAACACTATTCACAATAGCAAAGAATTGGAACCAACCCAAATGCCAATCAATGATAGACTTGATAAAGAAAATGTGACACGTATATACCATGGAATACTATACAGCCATAAAAAAGGACGAGTCCATATCCCTTGCAAGGACATGGATGAAGCTGGAAACCATCATTCTCAGCAAATTAAGATAGGAACAGAAAACCAAACACTACATGTTCTCACTCATAAGTGGGAGTTGAACAATGAGAACACATAGACACAGGGAAGGGAACATCACACACCAAGGCCTGTCAGGGGGTGGGGGACTAGGGGAGGGATAGCATTAGGAGAAATACCTAATGTAGATGACTGGTTGATGGGTGCAGCAAACCACCATGGCACGTTTATACCTATGTAACAAACCTGCATGTTCTGCACATGTGTCCCAGAACTTAATGTAAAATAATAAAAATTAAAATAAGCAGTCTATTTTAAGTTGAAGTATTCTGTTGATATGAAAGACACTAAGGAGTAGCTGCACTTCATAAATTGATACAGGTGTTCAATACACCTCACCTTCCCCACCCTACCACCCTCCCACTTCAGCCTGTCAAGATCTCTAGTAAGGCTGAGATGATTTTTACCTATAGAAATTTCATCACTCATACATCTACACCACAAGGGCAACATACTTAATTTTCTTTTAGGTATAATTATTTGTTGTTTTTTGCCATGTCAGTGGAACCAGTAAGTAAATAAACTTCATCTATGGCATGTCATAATAATCAACTTTGCCTGGTGCTTTAGTTTTTCCAAGTTTTTCTTCACATATTTTATTTCAGTTAGTCTTCCCGAATCCTATTCTTAGTCCACAGAAGAAACTAGATTGAAAGGATTAGGTAATTTTTCCAGGTCAAAAATAACAAACGGAAGAGCCATAAGTACAATCTTTTGACTCTGACTCCAACCCCAGTATTATTTTGGAGATTGTTATTCCCACTAGGATGCAGCAGCAATTCCGTCTTTCTCACCGCTGTACCTGTGATGCTTGGCATAGGGCCAAACACACATTGGATGTTCAATCATTTTTTTTTTAATTCATGAATAAAAAATTATGTAACTAATAGAACTTTATGAATTACCTAATTCAACTCTTGAATTTGGATAATGAAACAGAAACCCACTAAGATTAAATAAATTACTCAAAAATAATTTGTTTTAAGCTTTAGGCAAATTTCCCTTAATAGGAATCCATAGCTGCCAATAATTTTTATTATGATCATTATTGCTATGTTATAGTTTGAACTCAGCCAGGTCTGGTGTCAACTCATAACTCTTCTTATTATAATTGCTCAGTAGAGAAGCAAATATCCTGGTGGTTAAAGAAGGGAAATTTCTGAACAACATCATGCATGGTGGCCAAGGAAATTTTGCAAATTAAGTTATTTTCCAAGTCACTAAAGCAAGTTAACAACCCAGAGAAGAAGAGAAAACAACCATGCTGTTGAAATAACAGTAAAGGATAGGTGTCCCATTTCCATCAGGTTTACTTTCCTTAAGTGTTGGAAAGGACTCCCCACTCCCAGCATTTCTACTATAATAGTCAAAATTTGAATTCCAGCTCCACCATTTAGTAACTATGTGGCTTTGAGAAATTTGGTGAAGGCCTTCACCTATAACCTCTGGGAAAAAATGCCACTTCCAAGGAATGTTGTGAGCATTCAATGAATCAGTTGCTGCAAAGCACTGGTACTTAACAGGAACCTTTAAATGTTCCTTCCTTCTGTAGGTCAAGGAAGCCCTCATTAAAGCCACCACCTGGCCCTTCCTTGGCAGATCTTTTATAACATTTATTCAGCTTTGTTTCCAAATGATATAAACTTTCACAACTCATTTTAATAATCTATTTGTTTAGTGTTTCCTCTAAGCAAAATGATACCATAAAGTAAACATGCAGAATGTCTGATCAGTAGGCAGAGATTAATTGGTCAATTATTATGTCCCAGCATATTTCATAGCTTCTATTTCTCAAAAGATTTTAGATTTGAATTTATAATACATGGCCATTAAACCACAGTTGAAAGTTAATTGTTAATATATAATCTTAATGACATTCTTTTTTGCTTTCTGCATAATTCATGAAGCTCAGAGCATTGTATCTTCCAATTAAGCGTTTGGTTATATGCCTTGTTTCCATATATCATCAGAGCCTATCACTGGCCATCTTTTTTCCTTATAATTTCAGAAATTTTACTGGTAATTGGTATATCTTGATTATCTACCAAAATAAATATACTCTTATTAATGAAAACTTGTTCTGTCTAGGTTTTATTATCTGTAGCAGTTGAGGCCTCTTAAAAATAAGGCATACAAATCTTCCCTTCTTAACACAAGAAAGAACATTATGTAATAATTTAATGTTTGGGAATCATGATATCTATTTATCCTTTGCTTTTAGCTTTGCAAGAAGAAATTATCCAAGAGAGGTGATTTGACTATCTGCATAGCCAACTAATTGTACTCCTGAGGCCCAGAATTCAGTTGAGCACAGTCAGCTGCAGGCTTGTTGCTTCCTCTCTAATCCTACCCTCTTCCCTTTCCTCTTCTCAGCCCTCCCCACCAACAGTGGATCTGGCTGTTATGCTCCTATTTTTGAATTCCTCCTTATTCTGAATACTGTGGTTACTTTGGCAAGTCACATATGTCCTGCATTTTATTCTTCAACACTATTTCTTTACCCTATTTGTATTGACATTACAAATTTAAGGTGACATCTCATAACTGGGGGTTTTAAGAAACATCAATTAGATGAAATTGTATCCAAAAAAATGCCTGACATAAATGGCAAGTACTTGATAGTTACCCACTATTTTTAGTTCTAGTTTTGTTATTAATTCATCTATAATTAGGCTACTATTATGAGCACAATTCAGTAATTAATTTCCTAACACTGTTGCATGCCTAGCACAGCTTAATTTTTATGTGTTCATATCAAGACTATAAATTCTTCAAAAGGGTACCATGCCTTCGATTTCTCTGCGTGCCCTAAGTAGAACTAATGAAAATGATACTAGCAACAGTCTATTATATAATTACATCATTACAGCAACCCTCTAGGGTTGGATTATTATATCATTTAATAAATGGAGAAACTGAACCTCAAATAGCTTTAGTGGTAGAGTCTCAATTCAGACTTTGGTAATGTAATCGCAAAGGTAGCTCTCTTTACCACTCCTATAAATCCCTTAAGTGCCGATCATAGTGCCTTGCCTAGTAAGCACCTGTAAAGCTTCATTGTTCTGATTGTCTTTTTGATTCTCTTCCCTTGCAGATGGACCCCCATGAGAACATCTTACTGAGCACTCTCGAGATAAAAAATGAAATGGCCACATCTGAGGCTGTGATGGGACTTGGAGACCCCAGAAGCACAATGCTAGCCTATGATGCCTCCAGCATCCAGTATCGGAAAGCTGGGTTGCCCAGGCATAGTTTTGGCCGAAATGCTCTGGAACGACATGTGGCGCAAAAGAAAAGTCGCCTGAGGAGACGCGCCTCCCAACTGAAAATCACCATCCCTGACTTGACTGATGTGAATGCCATAGATCGGTGGTCCCGCATATTCTTCCCAGTGGTTTTTTCCTTCTTCAACATCGTCTATTGGCTTTATTATGTGAACTAAAACATGGCCTCCCACTGGAAGCAAGGACTAGATTCCTCCTCAAACCAGTTGTACAGCCTGATGTAGGACTTGGAAAACACATCAATCCAGGACAAAAGTGACGCTAAAATACCTTAGTTGCTGGCCTATCCTGTGGTCCATTTCATACCATTTGGGTTGCTTCTGCTAAGTAATGAATACACTAAGGTCCTTGTGGTTTTCCAGTTAAAACGCAAGTGATTTTTACACATGGTGGCTAGACAGCCTGAGTGCTCCATGTTGTCTGTTTAGTATGCAGCCTACTCAGAGGGGAATAATTTGGAAGATATTCTTAGAAGGCTCAACAGCATTGTCAGTCATTTGGTCATAACCAGATACTCCTCATCTTCCTTTTTAAGGTCGGCATGCTGTTGAGATGGCATTGTCCTTATGAAACATTATCTGTAATGCCATGCAAACACATTACTTGAAGATGATCTATGATTTTCTTACTGAGATGATAATGGTGTCATGGGAAGATTATTCCCACTGGTTTCTAAAAGATTCTCTTGTGATTTGAGCAGGCTAGGGGAATCAAGACAGAGACTCAGGAAACCGATTTGGCCAGTCCCTTTGCTTGAGCACGGAGAATCAACTATGATGTCTTTCATTTTGGCATTTAGAGATGAGGAGACTTCTGGACAATATCATGCATGGTGGCCAAGAAAATTTTTGCTAAACGGCTATTTCCTAGGTGGTTAAAGTAAGAGTTAACAACACAGAGCAGAGTAGAAAATCAGAAACGACGGTTGTAACAAAAAGCAAGCAAGCAAGAAAGCATGACCCTTATCAGCTCCACACAGCATCTGGTCTATACATACTGTGTCTAGTGGCAGAGGGTGAGTAAGAGAGATTGTTTTTCCAACATCACTAGCTTTTGACAGCATACCTAAAGAGGTTTTTATAGTTTAATCGAAGATAACCATGAAATACAAAAATTAGAGAAATGAGAATTGTCTTAGATATTCAGGTTAGATTCAGAGTCATTCAAATATACAAATACAGAGCACAAACTAGCAAACAGATTGTTTTTCTCAGACGAAGTCAGCTGTCCCTGCAATTTTTGTCCCTATAATTTTATTTCTTAATTTAATAGAGTATTTCAAGAGAAGGATTTGTTCATCACTTTAAAGGATTCATGGTCCTCTCCAGCTTTTTTTTTGCTTCCAAAATTCTGATTATATTCTTAGGAGACTGGCAAAGTAAGGCTTTGGAGAGATTGAGTGAACTATATTTTCTTATATGCAATGAAATTCACCATTGTATTTTTCAAAGCAAATAATACTTCAAGGAGTATGAACACACAGAGAGTTAATTTGTGCATTCATTGGTTTGGGGCTTGATTTTCTTAAGAGTGCTTTCATTGTATATGTTGCAATCTGCCTAATCAAGGAAAATATGAAAACTAGTGGAAAATAATAACAAAGCCACATTAACATGATAAATGTTATGAGCCTCAGTTGATATTGCAGAAAAATATATAACTGTTAATCAGGCAGGCATGATGTATTTTTTTTCTATTTTTAAGTTATGCCATTGTGCTTCTTTCTACACTAATTGGACATAAGCATTCATATGTTGGACAAGAGGAGAATAAGCTAATATGTCTTCCTTCTATCAATATAAGGCTCATATTTTGCTTTTCTTATAGAAAATAGTGAATTGCTAAATTTTCCTTAAAGTTGAATTTGATTGAACTTTTTCTTGGAGGATGACTTTGCTATTTCTATTTTGAAAACAAAGAAAGCTCTTCTTTTTAGAGTAATATCCCTAATTGTGCATAGCAGCCAGTATCCACCTGTGAATAATGTATGTTTTCTTGATTCCTTGTTTCCTTCATGATTTAGCAGCTTGGAATATGATGGAGTACTATTGCCCTTGCATTCCAGCTGTCCAAGAACAACAACAAACCTTTATCCTTCAGCTTTCTGAATTTGCCCCAAAATGGAATGGTATTTTGTTTTTCACCAGTGTAGGAAACCTTGGCCATTATATTTTGATTACATAATCTTGAGCACCTCTGAGTATCATCTTTGGGCAGAATCTGACCAAGATTCTTCTCACAGGCTCAGAGTAGAGATTCCTCATGTTTCTCCAGGACACACTTTCTCCTAGGCAATCATTTTGGGGCATCACACTAAGTAAAGTGCCTGCCCCTTGTCAACAGGGGGTAAAGTTTGACTAAAAAACATCAGGAAGGAACATATTGATAACTCAGGGGCACAACTCCAAAATGCCATTCTGAAAAGGCTCTTCTAGAGTCAACTCAGAGCCCAAGTGTAGAAGTGGGCTCTTATGTGCAATCACTGTACAAGCCATAAAAATCTTTGATATTGCCATTTATGATTACAACAAAATTTTAGATGTCCAAGAAAGTCAACAGAACAATCCAGATCAAAGTGTAGAGAAGCATCTTTGCAGCTTGAGCCTCAAAAGCATAAAACCAGGAATTCATTTCTGCTCTCAGTGATACAAGAAACAAGGCAAAGGAAAAAAGATGGGACCTTAGAAGCAATGCCCTAGAGTAAAAAGCATACATTGGCACTCAGTAACCACAGAGATAGAAACAACTGACTCAGCCTCTCCAGAAATAACAGTAGATGTAGAATTTGTTCTTAAATATATGTTTCGTTGAAATGAAATGCAGTCATCAAATGCGAGGAGGGGTGCTAGACCTGATAAGTCTAGGAAGACCAGTCAGCTTGATAGCCAGTTGTTAAACTAAAGGACCACAAAGGTGTGTTTAGTAGTTCTGATATGGGATTACTATCAGTTTATACATATGTATAGATTTTCTTTTAATTATAAACAGCCAGATAGCCAGCAATTAAGGTGTTTTTTCATCTTTGTGAAATTCATGGACAAATTCTGACTCTAAAATGCACAGTCTACATGAAATCTTTGATCTCAATCTGTATATATATATATTGTACATGACCGCTAGTAGGTATGAAATGCATTTCAGAGTTGAAAACTCATGCAACATAATCATGTGTTTGCATAAGGAATGTTAAAATTCTTTCTACTACAATTTATTAACAGGGGAAAAGATTCAAGCAGTGCCATCTAGACCTTTTCTCTTCTCATTTCTTCAAAAGCAGTGCTAAGTAAAATAATAATAATAAAAATGGTTTATGAACCAAAAGACTTTACATTCTAGCATTAGGAACACACACAAAAAAATCTGTCAGCTTACAAAAGCACAACACATAAAGAAAGAGCAGTGGAATGCGTAATGGGGAAATGAATCATGTTTAAAGCAAGACTTGCATTAAATTGGCAACTAAGATAATTTCCATTTTCTATAGGTAACCGTGTTCCAGTTTAATGATTACCTTCATACTCAACAAGAAAAATGGCAAAGCAACATCATCAAAATAGGTCTTACAACATATCTACATGTATATATGTGTATATATAGATTCATATAAACATACATACATATATATGCATTCATATGTTGGAAAACAAAAGGAATAAGCTAATATGTTTTATTTCCTTCATTAAACCAGTATATGAGTATTTTTAATTTGGCAAACAAAAATCAACATACTGAAATAAGTAATACAGGGTACTGAGCATTTCTCTATCAGCAAATCAATGCCTACAGTTTTTATGAACCATTGCACAGTTCAACTCGACAATAGTACTGTACCCCAGAACATCAGAAGTTAAGTAGTTGTCACATTGCTTGTCTAATTGCTCTCTTTTTCAAGGAAACAAATAACATTGTCCATTGGTGAGTCAAAAACAAACATGTCTTAAGAAAATGAAAAATGATAAAAATTCCTCCAAAGAGGAAGAAAAAAAAAAAACTAAACCCCACCATGTTGGTTAGGGCAAAATACTAAGTATTCACAACTGTAGCAATCATGCCATTTGGCTAAATGTACAGAGTACATGTAATGTGAGCAACCATAACTTTCACTGAACGTGTGTAAATATTAAAACAGATTTCTTAAATATTTTTAACTTCTAATTTGTATTTTATGGTAAGGCAATGTGCTAATTCCGTTTATGGCTTAAGTTGATGTGTTATAATATGTAAATAATTAAACATGCTGTAAATGAATAGTCAATAGATACAAATAATTGTTTAGTTTTTTTCTTAATTTTTATTTATTTTTTACTAAGTACTATTACTGCAGTGCCCCCAGCAGAGTAATTTAAACACCCTTTTGCATAAATGGTTTGGGAATCCCAGACAGAAGGGTTTCAATTTGCTATCACACACACAGTCACACACAGTCACACACACACACACACACACACTCAAACACACATAATCTTTTGCTCACCCACTCTGTCTCTCTGCCCGTCTATGGGAAACACTCTACTATTTATGTAGTCAATATAACAAACAAGAGATAGCCTTTGAAATGGCAATTGGGAAAAGCAAAAATGATCATTGATAACTTAATAGACTTTTTTATATGTCAGAGTTCAAGAAACCAAAGTTTGCAACTTAAATCTCAGTTTTCAAACAGTAAAAGTTTGTATAGATGGCACTACAGAAAAATAAAAATGGTTATTCCTACCAGCTCCAGAAATGTGTTACACAATATACACTAGAAGACTTTTTTTTTAATAATAGTATTTTGTCCTTAGGTAGTATTGTTCCTTTCAACCAAAGACTCCAGAATTATTGAAAAACAAAAAAGGAAAAAAAAAATGAGATAATGGGGGAAAAAAAGGACGCTGCTTCACACCAAAGGTTTAAAAAAATATTTTCCAAATGCACTAGGAACATTGTAAAAACCAGAAAGGAGTGAACAGAATGCTAATGAAGATACTGCCCTAAAGAAATCTGTACAAAAAAAAAAAAAAAAAGCAGCACTCTTAAAAAGCTACTAGGTTTTTGGAAATTGAAGTAAAATATTTCTGTAGATATATTCAAAATTCTGACATCAAATTTTAATTTGCTTAAAGAAGTTTTATTTGTGATGAAGATCAATATGATTCAAATGATGAAAAACAAAACTGTATGTCCTTTGAGTTCCCAAACCAAATGTCACTGCCGTGTCACATCCTCTAATCTGATGCCCATGTGTGTGTCCTTGCGCCATTTGAAGCAAGTTGACAGTTCCATCAGTTTGTTTTTGTTTTTGTTTTTGGTTCAATAATTTGAGTTCAACCATCGTCATTTTAAACATAATTAATCCCAACAAAGTTGCCTATAGTTTAATTTAAACCTCACAGCATTTTTAATTTATTTTGCATGGGTGTTTAAATAGTTCTGTTACGAATATTGTCCCTGCACAGTTCTAAATTGTCCTTTTATAAAAAAAAAAAGTGATATTCTAGTTTCTTCACAATGTAGTGATTATCAGCCTTACTAATTACCTTGTAGCCTTTCTTAATATGCACATAATGCACATTTTCCGATGGCTAGAAAAATGCAAAACACAGTGGATATCATTGCATCTATTTTCATGTCTTTCTAAAAACAGGACTATTAAAATCTCTGGGATACATGAGATAGTAAAAAATGAGGATTATAAATGAATAGCACATAAGAATTATTTTCTTGAATTTAAACTTATTGCAGCCAGTTTCAGCATGTAAATATATAATAATGTTGGCTAGTGTGTAATTCTTGAACTAAGAAATATAAATAAAAATAAAAAGATTGTGTGTGTGGTTTCATTGTGTTCAGAATATTTCTTGTTTGAACTGTTAGTATGAGTTATATTGTAGAATGATGGCTTTTGTGAAATGAAATAAGAAGCCTGGGAACTTGGGACCTACTGTCAGGCAAACTTGAATTTGAGCATTGATTTGCCAGTTCTGAGGCGTAATTGTGTAGTGACAACCTGCCTCTCAGTTTTCTTATCCATAAAGCAAAGACATGATTTTACCTTTTTCATAGGGTAGTTGTGAAGGCAAAATGAAATAACCCCAAAGAAGACTTTAGCACAGTACAAGCTACGTGGTAAGTGGTCTATAAAGAGTAGATGCTATTGTTTTTTATTATCATCGTTCCAGATGATTCTGCGTATATCTCACAAATGCTATTACCAGATCTAAAACTTCACCAAAATTAGTAAATATTCCTTAAGTTTAGATATTTTACATTAAGGATAACTAATTAAAAATTTGGCTTTAATCCTGAAAACAAGGGATAAACATGAGGTGTTCATTTAGTTCACATTCAACATATATTTGCTGAAGACATTTGGGTAATCGCTTCTTAAAAATTGATCTTCATTTAATTCTCACCATATTCCTGAAAGTACAAGAAACTTGAGCTCAGGAAGAGTAAGTTCCTTGCCAGCAAGAGAGAAAGAGCCTGGATTTCTACCCAGGCTGGACTTACCCCCACATCCTTGAAACTTCTTTCTACCTCATCATTAAAACTGGGGAACAGGTTTGTCCAATTCTCATTCATTTAGGAGAAACATTTCCCAAAAGACGTGTGCCAAGAGGTTGCCATCTGCCAGAGTGTGTGCTAATACTGGAAAAAACAATGGTGAACACAAAGTCTCTGCTTTCTTGAATTATGTGGCACCTCTCAAAGGCAGAGAAACTCTCCTGACTCCAGTGAATCATTTAGTGACAAGCCTAGTGTTTTTCACTCTCAATGACTTTGGAATGCCCAAAGCAGCAGGTTGGTAGCCTCTGCTAACTTGAGAGAGAGGCTATCAGAACACAATTGTTCAATAAAGTCACAGACTAAAAAGAGTTATGGTCGAGGAGTAGTATAAGCTACATAAAAGACCCACCTATAAAATGCTTAAGACTCAGTTATCAGGTTATGTTGTAAATGGTAAAACCTAGGAATATTAAATACCTACATCTGTGCTTGACATCCCTCATGGTAAGTTTCGGTATTTGCTTTCAGCAGAGAAAATATTTGTAAGGTCACATACATGCACGTGCTCACATAAATGGTGATGGTATGTCAGGGAGTTAGTGTGTATGCATGTGAGTGTGCCTATGAGCCCATGTAGTCAGGGGAAGGTGGGAGGGCCAGTAGTAAATGCTACCAGTGATGGGGTTCACAGTTTACAACTTACCTCAGAAAGGGAAAGTCTCCAGATACTGTCCCCCAAAAAAGCTGGCCAGTTGGTGTTGGGATAATTTCACCCCTCCATATTCCAAAAACTATATTTTCTTAAAGTGGACCCTTTAGATACCCTTGCTCTCTTCTAAAACTTGTTCTAATTCTCAAATATTACATGCCATTTTTCATGCAGAGTATTTCTCTAAGCCAGGAAACCCATCTCCCAGAGTAATACCAGTTTAATGGAGAAAATTTTCATAAATTCATGAATGTTCCCTAAAATATCTGTGACAGAGCAATAGCCAAATGTTCAAATCCTCTCTCATCCTCTGCACCATAGCACCCCATCCCACTACGTGGATTAGAACCAAGAATAATCTTGGGATGACAAGTCCCAAAACAATTAGTCCTTTTATCAATGTATTGATTTGTGTGTATTCTGGTCTTTTCTCCTCTTTTGTTTCAAATAAGCTACAGTATTGATTATATATTTGTTTTTGCACTTCAGAAATCTTAATGGTAAAGAAAAGAGAAACTACTGAGACATGCAGATGAAACTTAGCACTCAGGAAAGTGAAAGTATAAGGGTAAGCGTGAAAGGAGAAGGGGAGCAGTTTCTCAGAGACTGGGAGGGGGAAGAAGGACAGCAGGGCTCCATAGCAGTAGAGACATGCAATCTCTTCAATGGTAGAGACCTGGGGAATGGCAGGCCTCAGAGCAGATGGCACAGTGACATTTAGTGTGCCAGGCCCTGGGCACCGCCCCAGGCATACTGCTAAAGCAGCAGAGTCCTGGGAACACAGGGCAAGAATCAAACAGGCTGGGACTCCTCAGCAGAAAGGAAATGTGGCATTTCCTACACAGTTTCATTTAAGAAGTGAGGCTCATCACTACACTTCCATCTGGGACCTGGTGGGTCCCTGGTCTCTCCACCCCAGGAAGTGATATGAGAAACAACAAGATGGACTCGATATCAGAATTTAATATGCTATTCCTAGAAATAGATATCCAAGAGTGTAGAGGTCATGGCTCCAGTTCTGAAAGATAGAAGGCTAATGAGACCCAAAATTTGAGTAGAGGATTAATATAGCCCATTATCCTATGTCTTGCAAACCCAAATGCATACAGGGGGCTTAGTGGGAATTGTAATCAAGTAATAAAGGTCTGATGTCATACAATAGGGTGTCAGGGGAACCATAGGGAACTGGTATGACATGCTCTAAAGACCCAGCCACTGTTGAACCCTAGCTGATTGTTGCCGTGAGGAATTGCAAGCTCAGTGTTGCCAGATTCATCTTTGAATACAAGAAAAAAAAAAAAAAACCAAAACATTGAATCCTCCACTTTCCAGACAGGTACAGAATGGTCAGAGAGATGCTGGCAAATCAAGTTTTCCTGTGCCCAGAGTTCTACGTGGATGTTTCTATAGCTGTCAGCCTCAAGCTGAATTTGAGGAGGGAGCATGTTAGGAACTCCCTGAGAATTTATGTAGACTGAGCAAACTTTTATACCATTTTAGCTGGAGCAATGTCCCTTTCCTGGTGGTTGACATCTTGCAAATGTAAGAAAGTAAAACAGGGCTTTTTTATGTGTTCTTGAAAGAGAAGAAAGTGATAGAAACATGTTAGTATAAATGGGTACAGAAAATTGCAAGCACACGTTTTCACAGTGTGAACAAAGTCTGTTTGGTTTTTAGAAGGCTCGCTCTGCATCAGCAGAGTGTCTCTCTCCTCTGCATCAGCAGCCCCTTACCCTCCCAACGTTTCCTGGACTCACTCTGCATTGAGGTGGGCCTGACTTAGACTAGCAGACAAAGCCCTCAGAAGAGGGATTTTAGTGAGAAGCTAAGGATTACGAAGGGGTAAGGAATGGTTGGAAGAGCCTTGGAGAGAGACAAGGGGTGGGCAGGGGTTCAGGACTCAAGAGGAGACTCAGGGAGCCCTGTCTTCACTACATCAACAACTCTGGTGATAGAGAATGGGACATAAATGAAATGAGCGATAGAAGCTGCTAACACATTTCCACCACCCTGAGACTCAATGTAGATTGGAGTTTAGTCATGAACCTGAAGTGCAGAACTAATAGAAGTTTATCCAGAAATTTTGGGATAAATCAGCAGTGAGGGAAGGAAGGAGTGTACAAATAGGAAGAAGAAATTGACTCTAATGATAATAATATATGTGTATAGCTGATAAAGAAAACAGTTTGAAAATTGCTAGTCTCTTGTGGCGGACTGAGGAACCTGGTCTCCCCCATTGGTGTCCCTGGAGAAGACCAGAGAAAGAAGGAGAAAGAAAGCAAAGGAGGGAAGAAAGAAAAGGAAGAGGAAAAGATGAAATTTGGAAACATTTTCAGCACCTGACCACCCCCCAGCATGAGCTGTGAATTTAATTCACACGCTAGAGCAAGGTGTGAATTATTGCCATATCTCTGCTGCAGAGGACACAAAATGCCAACCACAGGCATTGCATGCCACAGGGGGCTAGCTCTAAGCCTCAGGCACTTCACCCCTTTACTTGACTGCTACTCAATAGATTACTTACTTCTGTTTAGCTTCTGGGGATACAGCACCTTTGAGAGTAAAATTAGAAATAAGGCTAAATCCTTAAGATAGAAAAAAAAGAAGTGTTTATTTCCAAACTTCTATTTTATGTTTATGGTTTTAGATTTTTACAGTTATTCTGAAAAGCTGAGAACTGCCAAAGTCTAGATATGTTGGTGTTTCCCTTAATTTATTCGGGTGACAGGAGACAGTCGTTGAAATAAACTTAAATATGAGTAACTTAAATATGTCTTCTACAAATTTTTGAAAGCCAACTTTACTGCTTGCTTTATCTCTTTTTACGTATGGCTATTGTTATGCCCTCATTTAAATCACTTTTGAATTTATAAATGCAATACTTCTCAATGTGGAAGATTATGTTTTTTTTTCTACACCCCCAAACAAAGCCTTGAATATACTTAAGACAACACAGAGAGAGAAAGCATGATTCTCCTATCATCTGGACAACTAGACATGAGGAAGCTGAAGCTTCCCAAGGAAGCAAGTGATTTTGCGAACTTGCAGGCTAATAAATCCCTCCCAAAAGTTGTGTGAGATCTGTGTCAGGGACATGTCACAGTTCTGGGTACATTGAGAGAGGAGAGGCCCAGGGTAGAGGTCACAGTTGTCATTCTCTGCGTAAACCAAACTGGACTGAAGAGAAATGGAAGGGTTCTCCCCATGCCTCATTCTCTTTACAAGCTTAAGAACACCCTCAGAGGGATCAAAGCTCCATTCAAGGTTGGCGACCTTTCTGAAGTGCCTTGCCAAATCTTTATTTATTCATTTTAATTTGTCATTCCACTTGCCAGGAATTCATTTGAACATTTAGAGAATCTCTCACTATATATAAAACAAAACTATTGATGCATACAAAGTACAAAATGATTAATAAATAAAAAAACTTTTAAATGTTTAAGAAGCTTCATCTAAAATTAAATAACATGGGGGATCTTGCCAATTTGTAAGGGAGCTTTTCCCATTCTGGCTTTGGCAGATAGTAGGGACGCTGGCTCCTGGCTACAGTTCTTGTTCCAGGAGCAGTCTTGGAGCACTGGGACAGCCACTTTGGAATCCCTGGTTTGCAGTGGACAGGGAAAGGCAAATGCTGGGGGAGTTTCCCAAGCCCATACAGCACATGCAGAGCTTGGTGGGCTCTCTGGCTTTCAATGCCTCTTTCCAGGATGTATTAGTCAGGGCTCTCCAGAGAAACAGAAACAGCGGGATGTGTGTACATTTAGAGAAATACTTATTATAAATAATTTACTTACATGATTATGGAAGATGGCAAGTCCAAAATCTTCAGGGTAGACAAGCAGGCTAGGACTCAGGAAAAAGTCATCATCCCAGTTTGAAAACCATCTGCTGGCAGAATTTCTTCTTGCTCTGAGGCAATCTCTTATTCTATTCAGGCCTTCAACTGATTGGATGTGGCCCACTTACATTATGGACGGCAATCTACCTTGCTCAAAGTCCACCAATTTAAATGTAAACTCACCCAAAAAACACCCTTACAGAGACATTCAAAATAATATTTTACCACATATTTATGTAATACTGAAAAAAAATGAAAGAATATGCTATTTAATAATGGGTGCTTTTGCTCATAGAACCAATCTTGTTAGCAATTTTTGAGTTTTGCTGCTACTTCATTGGTTGCCCCTTTTCAGGGTCCTTGGCTGGTTCCTCATCTGCTCCTCAACCTCTTCGTGTTGGAATGCCTCAAATTTACATTTTCATTCCACATCTGCCTCCTAAACTCAAAACATCTTCTTGAGATCCTACTTCAACCATCTAGTGGACATCCCAGACACAAAATATTTAAAACTGATCTTTCTTCCAAACTTGATGGCAACTTTAGTTTCTCCCGCCAAGAACCTTGTAGTCCTATTTTATTCCTCTTTTCCTCTGAACTTGCGTCTAATCCATCAGAAAATTAAAGTGGCCATTCCTTCAAAATATAACCAGAATCTGACCACTTCTCACTCCCTTCTCTATTACGTCCCTTTCTGGGTGACCACTATCTTTCCCCAGATTATTTCAATAGCCTCCTAGCTAGTCTCCCCGCTGCTGTTCTTGCCTCCCTGCAGAATGTTTTCAACATAGCAGCAGAGTAATCCTTTTAAAAAGCAAGTCAGATCACATAATTGTTCTGCTCAAAACACTGTAATGGCTCCTCATTTCAATCAGAGTAAAAGACAACTTTCTTACAATGTTCTGAAAGTCCATAGGCAGCCTGGTTCCCCTCACTGGCCCCCTGATGCTGACTCCCCCTGACTCTGAGCTCCAGCCACCCTGGCCTCATTGTTCAGCTCAACAAGCCAGACACACTCCTGCCAGGGCTTTCACTCTGCTCGCTCTGTTTGGACCCATCTCCCTGGAATCTGCTTAGTTCCCTCACCCTCTTCAAAACTTTCAAGGAGCCCAATCCTTACCACCTCACTTGGTTTTGTTACCAACCCTCTACTCCCTAACTCAATATTTACCATCCTTAATATTTACCATCCTCAATATTTACCTCATTCTCTGCTCTACTTGTTATTTTCTTTACCCAGGCTATTGCATAGTCAACTTATTCATTATGCTCTTTGTCACCTGTCTCCCCTGCTAGAATGTAGATCCTTAAGGGTATGTGTCCTGTTTGTATTTTTCACCGATTTATCCCAATGTAGAAAAATATGTAGAGTAGATATTTTATAAATATTTACTGAATGAAGAATGAATAAATAAACAAGTTTAATACCCAAATACCTATCCAAGGCATAAATTGGGTCACTTACTAGATGAATATTGCCTTGGCAACAACCAAAGTTTCTAATTTAGTAAGTTTGGGGGTGGACTCACTGGCCTGTATTTTTCACAAGCAATCTAGATATTGTCATAGTCATTAAAGTTTGAGATCGCTGCTGAAGATCCCTCAAGGTCCTGATTTACCCTGACAAGGTCAGTGCCTCCTAAACTTCCTGAGTTGCCACAACAGGCTTCTTGTTAAAGATTTCATTCTATCTATAAATCAGCACATGGCCCAAAGGGCGTCCTGAACAGAGAAAAAAAATGTTTGCTGACCCATTTTTCTCTTAAATGATAATAAAAGTTGTGCATAATGATGTAGTTTGGCTGTGTCCCCTCCAAAATCTCATCTTGAATTCCCACATATTGTAGGAGGGACCTGGGCAGAGGTAATTGAATTATGGTAGCAAGACTTTCCCGTGCTCTTCTCATGATAGTGAATAAGTCTCATGAGATCTGACGGTTTTATAAAGAGGAGTTCCCCTGCACAAGTTCTCTCTCTTTGCCTGCCACCATCCATGTAAGATGTGACTTGCTCCCCCTTGCCTTCCGCCATGATTGTGAGGCCTCCCCAGCCACGTGGAACTGTAAGTCCATTAAACCTCTTTTCTTCCCAGTCTCAGGTATGTTTTTATCAGCAGTGTGAAAACAGACGAATATAGTAAATTCATAGCAGGAGTGGGTGCTGCTGAAAAGATACCTGAAAATGAGAAAGCAGCTTTGGAAATGGGTAACAGGCAGAGGTTGGAACAGTTTGGAGGACTCAGAAGAAGAAAGGAAAATGTGGGGAAGTTTGGAACTCCCAGAGACTTGTTGAATGCCTTTGACCAAAATGCTGATAATGATATGGACAATGAAATTCAGGCTGAGGTGGTTTCAGATGGAGATGAGAAACTTGTTGGAAACTAGAGCAAATGTGATTCTTGCTATGTTTTAGCAAAGAGATTGGTGGCATTTTTCCCCTGCCCTAGAGATTTGTGGAACTTCCAACTTGAGAGAGATGACTTAGGGAATCTGGCAAAATGAATTTCTAAGCAGCAAAGCATTCAAGAGGTAAATTGGGTGCTGTTAAAGGCATTCAGTTTTATAAGGGAAGCAGAGTATAAAAGTATGGAAAATTTGCATCCTGACAATGCAATAGAAAAGAAAATTCTATTTTCTGAGGAGAAACTTAAGCCAGCTGCAGAAATTTGCATAAGTAATGAGGAACCAAATGCTAATCTCCGAGACAATGGGGAAAATGTCTCCAGAGCATGTCAGAGGTCTTCGTGGCAGCCCCTCCCATCACAGTCCCAGAGACCTAGAAGGAAAAAGCAGCTTCCTGAGCTGAACCCAGAGTCCCTGAGCTGTGTGCAGCTGAGGGACTTGGTGCCCTGCACCCCAGTTGCCCCAGCCACTCCAGTCGTGGCTGAAAGAGGCCAATGCAGAGCTTGGGCCATGGCTTCAGAGAGTGCAAGCCCCAAGCCTTGGCAGCTTCCATTTGGTGTTGAGTCTGCAAGTGCACAGAAATTAAGAATTGGGGTTTCAGAACGGACCTCAGCCTAGATTTTGGAAGATGTATGGAAACATCTGGATGCCCAGGCAGAAGTTTGCCACAGGGTCAGGGTCATGTTTACATGTATCTTACTTATTTGCAACTCACAATTTTCTCTTCTCTTGACCCCAACACCTATTAGAGAAAAGGAGAATGACAATGAAAATGAGACCTAGATATTTTATATAGGGTATAAATAGAAAAGCCCAAAACTTAGTCACAAAACTAGCTACCAGCCTTACTTGCTATATGAGCTCAGGAACTTCATTTCAACCCTCTGAAGTTCAGCTTTCTCATATATAAAGTAGAAGAAATAATCTTTTGGTACTTATGTGAAAACATTCTGCAAAGTACAAAGTGTATATGCTATACCTATTGTTATATGTGTAAAGTATATATGCAGCTATAAATGCAAAGTGTATATGCTGTATATGCTGCTTACATCGACATAATTAGTCATCTTCATTTTCTGACCTACATTTATAATGAACATTTCTTATATTGTCCTGTCTATACCATATTGAGGATAATGGCTTACCATTAGATAAGACAAGAGTTCTCCCTGATGTAGACAATAAGGAGATATGCTGTCTGAAAATAATTGCAAAACAATAATAAAATTGACTGAAAGTTAGCTTTATCATCATAATCCCTCAATGGTCAACAATTTCAGAGGTAAAATACCACTTCCCCCACTGAGTCACACTTCTTCATTATCCCACCCACACCTTGGGGAACCACCTTTCTCCACTCATAACCCTTGTGATGACTAGGGCTTCAGAGCTGCCACATGATTCAGGCCTGACCAATTAATCTAATCTATCCCACCTGGCCACAGGGATTTGTAGAAAGATAAGTAAGAGACCAAGTCAGTCCCATCCATGGCCTGCAATCCTGGGACTTCAGTGTGTGGGTGGGATATGTCTTTATTGCAGCTGGATTTGAGGATGTGGCAGGACATAAGAGCGACACTCCTGGCAGCTATCTGCCAGCACAAGGAGAGTGTCTGCCTGGGGACTGAGCCAACACAAATGAGAGCAGAGACAAGAAATGCAAAGAGTAAGACCATGTCCAGATGGTTTCATTGGATCACATGGAGACACCTGTGCCTCTACTTTTGCGAATATGAAAGTTCAAAACTAGTCTTATTTTTGTATTTTACCACTTGCACTCTGAATATAACTGAGACAAAAGTCTTTGTTAAAAGGAGTTTGGTTTACACTGGGAGGCATGCTAGTGAAAGGTTAGTTCATGCCAGAAGTAAAGTGTGCCACGTGGCCCAATGAAAGAATCCTGAGTTCTAGTGCATCTCACTTCTGAGCTGCAGTTTCACCACCTACAGAGTGAGAGAGGGAGAGAAAAGTAGAATAGATGATTGAAGGATGATTCAAAATTTCCTTCAGACTCCAAAAGTTTCCAAGTCTATCTCAGGCATAACTTGGTACATGACGGAAATTCTGGAAACTGCTCTAGCTTTGAAAATAGAAGAAGGACCTTGAACCACCTGCCAAAACATATCAATTAAACATGCAAAACATAATTTCTATAATGCATTACGACACTGGATTGACTATATGGAAATCCTGAGGTAATTAACATGAGTGGCTGCCACAGCATCTCATTTTTGCCATTACAACTACATTTTGGTGTCAAAAGCACATGAGTCTTCTGTATTTACATTCGTTCTGTTAGTGCATTATAATTACAGATGTAATCAAAAAGAGAGGTTTGATTTTTCACCTAAATGACACCTTTAATCACTTCTGAATGAGGCATGACTCCAATTAGAGATATCTCAAAAAATTATGCCTAATAGTATCAGTTATCAGAATTCCAAATAGAAGACTTTTATTTCAATGCCATTTCCCTTTATTCTATTTTCCTAGGGAAGGACAGTTTCCTGCATGTGATGGCACAGGGTAAAATCCTTATGACTGATTTTTTTCTTGATTAAAATAAATTCAACAAACTGTTTTTGACTCCTTACCAAATACCAAGTAGGATAGAAGTTGAGAAGTGAAAAAGTCTTCCAAACCTGCACACAATCGATTTAGAATGTAATGGAGGATGCAGATGGATGAATTAGGCCTTAAGGAACCAGTAGACAAGCAGAGAAAGGGAAGCACATATCATGCAAAAGAAATTGCCTAAGTGACTATAAAGTCTGGGAGATGGAAGGAGAGATATTAAATCTGAAAATGTAACCAAGTAAAGACGAGATAATACTGGGATAGGGTGGGCCCTAATCCAAGGATTGTTGTTCTCATAAGAAGAGGAAATTTGGACACAGAGACCAAAAGGAAGATGGCTCTGTTAAGACGAAGACAGAGATTGGAGTTGTGCTACCACAAACTAAGAATCCCAAAGATTGCTGGCAACCACTAGAAGCTAGGAAGAAGCATGGAAACATCCTCCCCTAAATCCTGCAGCGTCTGGCCCTGCCACCCACCATGGGAAGGGGATGCCCCTGGAAGCTACTGATTCCAATAAAAGAGGGGCAAAGAGAGTAGATCTAAATTCTGCATACTGTCTATAGCAGAGCTTTCTCAGCTGACCAGCAGATCCATGAGCCAAGAACAAATACTTGCTCCTTTAAGCTATGAAGATGGGAATTCTTTGCTATATCACATTATTGCATTTTTAAAAACAAGCTGTTACATTGACCTAGGTCCTTTTCCCTTGGCTTTTATCTTCTTTCCTCCCTGCAATTATCTACTTTCAGGTTTCTCTGACTTTTCTGAAGCAGTCATTTTATCTGATAGTCAACTTTTTTCCCATACCTGGTGATTCAACATCCTATCATAGATATTTGAATAGTTCAAAACCCCTCACTTCCACACACTAGAATGGAAAGAATTTTCTCCTGAAGCTGTATGGCAACATGGTTTCTGAGATAAAGCCCCATACAGTTTATTGCTTTTGTTCATTTAAAGCATTTCTCCTGAAGTTAGAAGTTTGGCAGAAGTAACCATAGTAACAATGAAAAAGGCTCTCGTTCTCTGTGCATCATTATGCCCAGCAATATGGCTTGTGCAGGCAGGAACTCAACTGGTATCCAGCAGATAAGTATATGAGTGATTGAATGACCATGGTTGCTTTTATTTTAAGGCAGAAAATACATTAAAATACCCAAGGTGTCCATTTTGGAAAATAGATTTTAAACATTGAAAAGGAGGTTGGTTGTTCAAATGGCAGTGTATGCACTTTATAGAATTTCCACAACTTCAGTGGCCAAGGGAGGTAGGGGATATAAAATATTTACAACAGAAGTAAAGGGTCATGGTTAACAGCAAGGGCTTTAGCATCACAGTCTCTAGAACTGAAGTCCTACTCCTTATGATATAAGTCCCTGGGCAAAATACAGAACCAGTCCTTAATTTCCTCTCCTCATCTGTAAACAGGTGATGATAAATACCAATACCAATTTCATAATTTCTTTCTGAGGATTATATGATTTAATTATCATTGAATATTCAGCACACAAAGTGCTTGCTAAATAAATCCTAGCTAGTATTATTGCTGTTGTTATTTACTGTTTTATTATAGTTCAGATCGTGTTATGTACTGAATACTCGTGTCTCCCTGAAATTCAGGTGTTGAATAACCCCCATTGTGATGGTATTTGGATGTTGAGCCTTTGGGAGGTAATCAGGGTTAGTTTAGGTCATGAAGGTGGGGCCTTCATGGCTGCATAGGTGGCTTTATAAAAGGAAAAAGACAGAGAGTTCTACTTCTCTCTCTCTCCATGCACAGATGGATAAAAAGCTGTATGAGGACATTGTTGAGAAGGCAGCCATCTATAAGCTTGCAAGAAAGCTCTCACCAGGAACTGAATCAGCTGGCATCTTGATCATGGAAATTCCAGTCTCCAGAACTGTGAGAATATAAATTTCTGTTTTTCAAGCAATCTAGTCCATGATATTTTGTTACAGCAGCCCTAGCCTGCTAAAGCAGATTTCATTCCTTTTTTATTCTCCTAGCTAGCACATTCTTTATGACGCTGAATACTTTCTTAATCATTCATCTTAGAGTTTGCTTTCTCAGTCATTCATCTTAGAGTTTTCTATAATCTTTCGATGATTTAGGACTCTTTAAGGTTCAAGTAACAGAAACTCAACTCAAATTTACATAAGCCAAAATAGAGGTTCATTTGCTTATATAGGTAATGGGGAGAGATTACTTTGGTCCCTTTTCTCTGTCTACCCTGTTTTTAACTCACCTTCCATTTGCTCAAGAGAGACAGAGGTGCTAAACTAATTGCCCAGACTGTGAAATCATAAAAGGCCTTGTTTGCTGCTATCCCAAAGTGACTGCACAGCCACACTGTATACATGGTCACTCCATATACCGTGGGATGGATATTTCTTACAAGAGTGATATGTTGGATTCCGTGTGTTATGAAGGGATAGGATACATCCTATGTATCAAAATTTTTTCTTACTGCCAAAGACAAACCAATTGATCCAACAAAAAGGATGCCACTATTCCTAATGAATAGGCCCTAGGAGTAGAAAAAATACATCCATTGTATAGAATATAATTTATTGCTCTGAAGATATTAATCGATTGCCTGAGAGGCCAAACTAAATGGCAATATATTTAAGTAAAAGTAAGAAAGACTTCAGCTAGACTAGAGCAGCTGCAGTCCATCTTCTCCCTTAAAAAAAAGGCTCAGAATTTACTCCTGATAGTGAATGTGAAATTTCTGATACTGGTAAACAATCAATCAGCATTAATTTGTACCGGCATTATTATCATCACCAGCATTATTTGCAAGTAACCTGCTAGGGACCATAAATTGAAAGGAGAATAGCCTCAGATCTTTCCCCAGCTCTTGAGGGGCTTATGTTCTAGAGTAAGATCCTTACTGGTGATATTCCTGTCAAAGGCCCTCCTCTAAAATTTGCATCTTAGAATTTCATGTTTCGCAGCTGTGTGATGTAGCAACTAATTTGACATAATTTACTACATTAGTGTTCATGACTGGGGAAACGACACCTCTCTTTTGACATGATCAGGACAAGAGCCCAGCCTTATATTCCCTCAGGACTGATTAGTCACTAGACTGGAGTGGCTTTTCCTGGAGGCAAAGCCTTTCCATAGAGCTTTCCATTATGACAAACTCCTTAAGTGGGTGGCACTTTAGGTTTTGGAAGATCAGTCTTGGACAAGTTACTGCTTACTCTTATTTGCAGTACTGTACTATAAAGGGAATTGCTAAGACAAACTATATGAATGTTTTTGAAAATTTCATACATTTCACTGAACCATGCTTTTTATCTTCTGTAAATGATAGTAACTGCTTACCCAATTCTCTCACTGTTACAGTTTTGCTCATCTTAAAGCATTTTCCAATTTGTTATTCATGAAAAAACAACCATTTTCTTTTGCATTTATTTGATTGTTAGTGAGATTAAATTTTTTTATGTTTATTGCCCATTTTTATTTCTTATTTTGTGAGCTGCCCAGAAGGCACAAATTTGAAAATAGATACATTTCTGGGCTACCAGTTTAAACAGAGTTGAGCTCAGCAAAATGACAAGCAGCTTATAATTGGACCAATACCCACAAATGATCTTTCTTGAAGGATGTTTTTAAAAAAACTGTATTATTTCTGATTACTTCTGGCAAAGTCCTTTGCTTTTCTCCTCCTACTAATGAGTGATCAAAAACAGCAACATGACTATCTTTGTCAATCAGTGTATTTTATTGTTCTTTTCCCAATGATTTTTAGGTACATGTTATGGGTATGTATCTGGAGACACTGAAATATCCATCTTAGTTTTTGGAATAATGAAAAGGCTGGAGAAATAGATTTAGATTCTTGTCAAAATTATTTTAGAAGACATTCCACAGTCATAAAAGAACTCTATTGATCCTTGGTACTTAATCCAGTCTGCTATCATTCCACTACTTCCTTTCTAATATAATCTAGCAATTATAAACTATAATTACCAATCTTCTACTTAGTCATGAGACCACATCAAATGAGAATCAAGTTAATACCTGAGTCCCTAGACAAGACTTTTTCAAAATTTACATGCTGGTGAGTCGCTTGCATCTGAATCACCTGGGTTTGTCCCATTTCTTATTCATCAAATCATGGTTTCTGGAATTAAAACTTAAAGAAGCTTCATTTTTTAAACAAGTCAGGGGGTATTCTGTTACATACTGTTATCTAAGATATTTAATTATTACCTCTCTTTCTTTGGGGATGGGGGCAAGCATTTGAATGACTCAACTTTGATTTCAGCCTCTCATAGATTTTGCTGTGGTATTTATGCACTGATCATGTTAATTCCCTTGTTAACTCAAGTAGAGTGAGAAAAAAGGAAAAACGATGACGTGAGAGAATCAACTTGCAGAAAAAAATTAACTATTAATGATCCAGAAGATTTGGATGAACAATATTCCCCTGTCTTGCCAAAAAAGAAAACAAAACAAAACCAAAAACCCAGAGCATTTCTTATTTAAGAGTGCCTTCACTTAGCTATTTTAATAAGACCTAGTCAACTGAAAAACATCTTTGCACAAATGACAAAGAACAGTGTCTCATGTATAAAAACTGTAGTGTCCTGAGAGTCATGCTGGATGGGCTTAGAGCCAGGACAGATCTGGATATGAATCCTAGATTCTCTCATTAGCTCAGTGGCCTTGCTAGAACAACTTTCTGATCTACTTCATTATCTGTAAAATGTGGCTAAAAGTTATTCTTCTTTGTAAGTTTATAAATATTTGCAAATTTCCTAGCCCTTGATAGATACTTAGTAAAGCCCAAGATAGCAACTGATTAATCAAAATATGTACTATGTGCAAGGTCAAAGAATATATATGGCATGACATCGAGTTGCAGGAGCTTGTAATTTGTAGATTTTACGTATTTAATATAGGAGGATTTGATGAGTCTATTTTGCGGACCCCAAAGATGAGAAACAAGAACAGGCATCAAGGCTTTTTCCCCTCATCTCAGATTATACAATAATTCTCAGATTATATGATAATTGAGTTACAAGATATCAATTATTATATGATAATTAAATTATGAGTTATCAATTATTATATGATAATTGAGTTACCATATAATCTGAGATGAATATATTCAATTACTAGAAGCAAGTTCCTAGCTTCAAAATTGTTTAATTTTTTTGGTTGTTGTTGTTACTGAAATTTTCTTTCTCTGGCAAAGACAAACCAGTTGATCCAATAAAAAGAAAGCCACTATTCCTAATGAGTGGGTTCTAGGGGTAGAAAAATGAATAAGAAACAAGCCTCTACCTCTGATGTAAAAATGGCAGAGAATGACCAGGGAAAAGACCCTGCTTTTAATGTCAGAAGTATAGGAAAAGATTCTGAAAGGATTCGTTCTGTATGGATGTGCTACAGTGCACATCCAATTCACATGACGCTATGAGGCCCAACTCAACTCCTTGACTTTCCACACTCAGTAAGCAATGGAGTAGGCCCATCAGGGGCCCTATCCCGTGTGTGCAAGTGGGACTGTCAGTGGAGGTCCCCCACATTCTCTACCTCCAGAGTGGTTTGTGAAGCAATCAACCAATCACTCCCACCTCAATAATTTGCTGTGGGATGGACATGTCACCCACAGACCACTTGGAGTTCTTCTGGGGAGACAGATAATGGAATTTGGGAGAAAGATCTTTCCTTTCTTGGGCAGAGGACAGAGAGAGATACCTGATGGCATTGTTTAGTTCCTATATCTAAATATCACAAAAGCCCAGGACTCTTTAGTTACATCAGTAAATAAAATCCCTTTTTCTTCTTGAGCTAAGTAGATTTGATCCATTAAGAGTCTAATTTCATTGGTCTGAAATACTAGGTTACAAAGAACTGGAACCAACTTTGTCCTCCCACATCCCTTGATTCTGACAGCAAAGTCAGTCGTCTTCAGCAATGATTGGCTGATTTTAAGCATTTTACAAAAGTGTTCCAGGATGTTGCTGCTGCCATTGTTATCGTTGGTGTATTAATATGAAGCTATGAGTGTCATAACTGTGATTTCTAACCCACTAATTTTGACCTGACCCTAGGCATCCATACCTACAGGCATTTGTGATCTCCTGATTCTGAAGCCTAGGTGAGTGTTAGAGCACAGAGTCAGCTGGAAAGGCCATAAACCAGACTAGGTGAGAAAGAGCCTGCCAGGAATGCTGCTACAAGCATATTGTGTGAGCAGCTGGCCTCAGCAGTAGTGAGAATCTACCAGTAAAGAAGATGGAGAAATAGGTTTGCAAGCAACAGTTTGGGATCAAGGGAGTCCTGAAAGCAAAACCTTTGCATTTATCCCTACTTGCTTTTTTTGATGGAATCCTAATGAATGGACCCCCAGCCCATCTAGACATGGGAATGGCGTTTGATGTCTGCTGTAAAGCCTGTCTCCAATTTGAGTGGAATTCATCTAATTTCAAACTCAAATGATGATTCACTCTTATTTGGACCTCTTCCATTGAATAGGCTGTGCAACCTCCTTGGATGCCAGGCTAAGTGGAGGACTTCCGGGTCATGTCTTTCCTCCTGCCTCCACCCCCTCCATTCTTAAAACTTTTCCTATCAGAAGTGACCACCTAGGTCACTGGGACTTAGTCAACAGTACTTGAGGGGATCATAAGGCAGGATAGCAAAGGAGACAAAACCAGACAGACTTAGGTTTAAATCTTGATTTTCCTTCTTCCTTCCTCTACTCTTTCCTTCATCATTCATGAAACACCTATAATGTGCCAGACAATGTGTTAGATACTAGGATGTAGGAATAAACTTTACAAATGACAGTCTCTGTTCCCTGGAAAAACAGAAGAACATTCAATCATTGAACACCTTCAACAGTTTCTTGTTTTGGCCAACAAATTTCATCTGTCTTAGTCTCAGTGTCCTCATATGTAAAATAAAGGATAAAATGGCTACCTTGCCTAACTGAAGAAGGCTTCAGGTATGGGAGAGCTTGGAACATAAAAGATGAAGGATTTGAGAGTGAAAATAGCACATTTTTTAAAAAGATTGTTAAAGTTAGTGTATATTACCCAGAAACCTCTGTGTGTTTAACTTTGTGGTAGAAGGAGGTAAGTAGAAGAAAAACGATGAACCTATGGGTCAGTTGACCTGATCTGCTCTTAGTCTCCTGAAGCCTCTTCTGTAAAATGGTGACAGTCCACCTCCTCACAATGGCTAAGAATTATGAGTTAGTTGAAAATATATAAATAAATGCAAACATTTTAAGTACCCTTTGCAAACTGAAAGCTGTGCTTCTCAATTGGAGATATTTCCTCCCATTCCCCCCACCACCCATTCAGGGGACATTTAGCAGTACCTAAAGAGGCTTTTGGTTGTCACATCTGATGGAGGAGAGTACTACTACTGGCATCTAATGATTAAAGGTCATGGATATTGTGAAACGTCCTACAATGCAGAGGACAGCCTGGCCCCCCTCTCTCCATGCCCACCAAGGAATGATGAGGACCAAAATGTCAAAAGCATCAAAAGTTGATAACCCCTACTGAAAAACACTATGGAAATGCAATGTTATTCCAATTAGGCTTGGATGTGTGCAAACACAGGAGAGAGAGCACACAAAGGGGGCAGCTAGCAAAGTCTAAGAGGCAATACTTCCCTCAAAGATCTTGAAGTCTTGTTAAGGAAATAAGATTCACACAAGAAAATAACTTATAGAATAAAATAAAGATGTCTCATACCCCACTATAAAATACTTGGATGGAAATCAGATGATAATTCTTCCAGATCTGCTATTGACTTTTCATATGACCATTGACAAGCTATTTACCCTCTCTGGGATGCTAAATTTGCTATTGAAAATGGCCTAGAGAGTTCTGAAGGCAGAGTTCAACATTAGCATTTCATTTTCAATTATATTCACCAGTTTGTGAGAGATATAGTAAAATGAGCGTAGACTTTTGAATGTAGTATCACAGATTGAATATCTTCCACATATTAGGTGGGAAAACTTGAATAAATCACTGAAGATCTTTAAGGCTCAGTTTCATTTTCTGTAACCAGGAGATATACTAAATACCTTTCAGTAAAGATCCCGGCACATAGCTATTTTTTTCTGGTTATTATATTATTATGAGCTCTGGGGAATATTTAAATCTTTTCATGGACCTGCATGCTTCCACAGTACTGATCAGCCATGAGACAGTGAGGGTCTTTCCAGAGTGAGAGAGTTCAATCTCCCAGTAAGCCTCTTAGTATAAACCAAAGACTTTTCTGACTATGCATCATGGGAAAGTTATCACCCTTCGAAAAGCTCAGCCATCCCATCTATGAAGCACAATAATTATTACCTTAAAATAGCAATAGAAATTTATGTGTGTATTTTTGGCTGAGCGTGGTGGCTCACACCTGTAATCCCAGCACTTTGGGAGGCTGAGGTGGGCGGATGACAAGGTCAAGAGATTGAGACCATCCTGGCCAACATGGTGAAACCCCGTCTCTACTAAAAATACAAAAATCAGCTGGGTGTGGTGGTGCGTGCCTGTAGTCCCAGCTACTTGGGAGGCTGAGGCAGGAGAATTGCTTGAACCCGGGAGGCGGAGGTTGCAGTGAGACAAGATTGCGCCACTGCACTCCAGCCTGGCAACAGAGCGAGACTCCATCTCAAAAAAACAAACAAAAGTTATATGTGTATTTTTAATATTTCAATTTAAGGCTATGCCTTCTGTTTCCTAGTACCTTAACCATCTGCAGAATATCCTCACCTTCTCCATCTCTAGGTCCAAAGAGGAACAAATCTTGCCTTCAAAAATCAACCTCAGGATCCTCCTTATTTACACCAATTCCAGGAAATAGGTGAGAAGAAAATTAAATGAAGGAATCTAGTATAATAAAGAGCTGACTCAGGAATTAAAAAACAAAAGAGAAAATAGGCCCTTCCTAGATTGAGATGGGGGGTGGCAGTTTGGGGAAGACTTGTGTGGGAGGAGAGAGCTTGTGGAGGCAGCTATAGTGTATGTGACATACAAAATACAAAAATGAGATGAAGAACAAGTAGCTTTAAAAAGTATTAGTTTTGGATATCAATGAAATCAGTAAATTGACAAAATATTTGCACTTCCAAGATTATTATAACACTATTCACAACAGCCAAGACATAGGGTAGACCCAACTGTTCATCAGTGGATGAATGGATAAGGAGAACATGGTATACATGCACAATGAAATGTTAATACTTCTCAGTCTTCAAAGAGAAGTCATTCCTGTCATTTGCAACAACAGGGATGCATCTGAAGGACATTAAACTAAGAGAAACAAGTCAAGTGCAGAAGGACAAATACCACATTATATCACTTATATGTGGATCTAAAAAATTAAACTCATAGAAGCACAGAGTATGACAGTGGTTACCAGGAGCTAGGGGTGCGGGGCAAGGGTAAAATGGGGAATTGGGAAGATGTTTGTCAAAGAAAATAAAATTTCACTTCCAGGTGAGAGTTGAATGGATAAAGAAAATGTGGTGTGTATACACACAATGGAATACTATTCAGCCATCAAAAAGAATGAAATCCTGTCATTTGCAAGATGGATGGAACTGGAGGGCATTATGTTAAGTGAAATAAGCCAGGAATCGAGAGTTAAAAACCACGTGTTCTCACTAATCTGTGGGAGCTTAAAAAAAAAAAAAGTTGATCTCATAGAAGTGAAGAGTAGAACAGAGGATACTAGAGGCTGGAGAGGGTAGGGGAAAGGGGGCAATAGGAAAAAATGTGTTAAAGGATACAAAATTACATCTAGATAGAACAAATGCATTCCAGTGTTCTATAGCACTAAAGGATGACTATAGTTAACAATAATTAATATATAGTTTCAAATAGCTAGAAGAAGGATATTGAATGTCCTCAACACACAAAAAAAATGATATATGTTTCAGATGATAGATATGCTAATTACCCTGGTCTGATCACTATATGTTATATGTTTCACAACATCACTATACACCCCCAAATACATACAATTATTATTTGTAAATGAAAAGTAAAATTCCAATTACAAAAGAAATAAGTTCAGGAGATCTATTATGCAACATGGTGATTACAGTGAAATAAAAACATACTATATGTGTGACAATTTCTAAGAAAGTATATTTTAAATGTTTTCATCAGACACAAAAAATAAGTATTGAGGTAATTGATATGTTAGCTTGATTTAGTCATTCTACAATGTATACCTATATCGAAACATCATGTGATCCACCACAAATATATATAATTTTTATTTGTCAATTAAAGGAAAATAAACAAACACATAAAAAGTATTACTCTGGACTTTGAATGGAAAAGTTTCTGAAGAAACTTTCACAGTTTTTGGAAAGTATACTAAAAGCTTAATTCCTATATTTACAAAATAGTCAGTGTAAAGGAATTTACAGGAAACTAAAGAGGAGCCTGTTTCTCTTCCACATGGATGCAGGACAAAGTGAACAGAACATCTGTGAAATGGAGAAGCCCTAGGAAGCAGGGAATATGAAGAAGTAAGGCATGAGGAATTACTGAAATTATAAAAAGTACTCTATGTCCTCACAGACTACAAACTGGGCTTTTAAACAAATTTTTTCAGATTTTTAAAATTTCAATAGATTTAGGGTTACAAGGGTTTTTGGTTACAAGGATGAATTGTACAGTGGTGAAGTCTAGGCTTTTAGTGCACTTGTCACCGAAATAATTGAGTACATTGTACACAATAGATAGTATTTAATCCCTTACCCCTCTCCCATCCTCCTCACTTCTGAGTCTCCAATGTCCACTATACTACTTGGTATGCCCCTGCATACTCAATGCTTAGTTCTCACTTGTAGGTGAAAACATGTAGTATTTTGCTTTCTGTTCCTCAATTACTTCACTTGGGATAATGGTCTCTAATTCCATCCAAGTTGCCACAAAAGTCATTATTTCATTCTTTTTTGTGGCTGAGTAGTATTCCACAGTAGAATTCCACAGAAAATCCATACATTTTTTTAATCTAGTCACCAGTTGATGGGCACTTAGGTTGATTCCATATTGTGAATTATGCTGTGATAAGCATATTAATGCATATGTCTTTTTGATATAGTGACTTATTTTCCTTTGGGTAAATACTGAGTAGTGGGATTGCTGGATCAAATGGTAGATGTACTTTAAGCTCTTTCAGAAATCTCCATACTGTTTTCCATAGAAGTTGAACTAATTTACATTCCTGCTAACAAGGTATAAGCTTTCCTTTTCACTTCATCCGTGCCAATATCTATTGTTTTTCGATTTTTCAATAATGGCTGTTCTCACTGGAGTAAGCTGATATCTCATTGTTGTTTTAATTTGCATTTCTTTGATTAGTGATGTTGAGCATTTTTTCACATTTGTTGGCTGCTTGTATGTCTTCTTTTGAAAAATGTTCACATCATTTGCCCACTTTTTAATGGGTTTATTTTTTTCTTGCTGATTTCTTTGAGTTCCTTGTAGATTCTGTATATTAGATCTGTAGTTGGCAAATATTTTCTCTCACTCTGTATGTTATCTATGTACTCTGTTGGTTATTTCTTTTACTGTGCAGAAGCTTTTTAGTTTAATTAAATCCCATTTATTTATTTTCCTTTTTTTGCTGCATTTAGTGTTGGGGTCTTAGTCATAAATTCTTCGTCTAGGTTAATATCCAGAAGAGTTTTTCCTAGGTTTTCTTCTAGAATGTTTATGGTTTCAGGTCTAATATTTAAGTCTTTAACCTATCTTGTAGAAAGTATTTCTTCTTCTTCTATTTTTTGGAAGAATTTGTGAGGACTGATATTAATTATTCTATAAATATTTGGTACAATACACCAGTGAAGCCATTGGTCCTGGGCTTTCCTTATAGGAAAATTTTGATTACTAAGTCAATCTTTTTACTTTTTATAAGTCTACCCAAAATATCTGTTTCTTCTGGAGTCAGTTTTGATAGGTTGAGTTTTTCTAGAAATCTTTCCACTTTATCTAGATTATGTACTCTGTTGGCATACAACTATTCATTACATTATCTTAGGATACATTTTATTTTGTAAGCATGATAGTAATGTTTCCTCTTTTATTTCAGAATTTAGTAATTTGAGTCTTAAGGCAACCTTAAATTAAGTCTTACATTCACCAGCACCTGGCTCTTCTCTTTGTCTCCCAAGCTATAGAAGTCTTAGCACTGAGGGCCAGGCACAGTGGCTGACACCTGTAATCCCAGCACTTTGGGAGGCTGAGGCGGGTGGATCACGAGGTCAGGAGATCGAGACCATCCTGTGGACACAGTGAAACCCCATCTCTACTAAAAATACAAAAAAAGAAAAATTAGCAGGGCATGGTGGTGGGTGCCTGTAGTCCCAGCTACTGGGGAGGCTGAGGCAGGAGAATGGCATGAACCCAGGAGGTGGAGCTTGCAGTGAGCCGAGATTGCACCACTGAACTCCAGCCTGGGCGACAGAGCGAGACTCCGTCTCAAAAAAAAAAAAAAAAAAAAAAAAAAAAAAAGTCTTAGTACTGAGAGTAAACAAAGATGATTCTGCCTCAAAACATCCCTGTCGACAATGACATCCTGCCAGTCACTTCTCCACAGAGTGGAAAGAATTGCTTTTCAAAGTGTGGTCCCCAAACCTGAAGTACTGGAATCACCTGGGAACAGAATTTGGGGCCGTTTCCCAGATCTGTTGAATCATAATCTGCATTTTGTCCAGATTCCAAAGTAATTTATGGGCGCATTAAAATTCAAGAATTACTAATTTAAAGGAAATGGTATTTATTGAACCACACCTTTCCCTGTCACTTTATTTCACCTAGACTACAACATAGATACACAACTTATGGGATAAGAAAATCTCAGAATGCCATTACCGCAACTTTCTTAACTGTAATTGTCTTTTGCAGTTCATCATCCCACTTTTACTGCCTCATGCAGCTGGTAACCCAACTTCTCTCCTTAGGAGGTTTTCCTTTTGGCTATTGCTTCTGTCTTCTGAAGCATAACAACTGCTTCAGGCATAAGCAGGATGTTCATGATGGTCTTATCTGTTTCTTCGATATGGTAGGAAGTTTGTATTAACATGGGTGAATGTAATTCCCACTATTACAGATCAGATTTCTCAACACTCAGCCTTAGTCCGGCTGGTTCCCTTTACTCGTCACCTGTCATGAAGACAAATATTGATTTTTTCCATTAATAACATAGTTCAATTCTATATCAAATAAATGTGTTTTTTTCATCTTTTACATTCTTATTAGCTGCTCCCCCTAGAAATGATAGTATTGCCCAATCACATCTCTCCTCAGTTTTGGTACTGAGAAGCTGTTGGCTCTTTATCACCCCCAACTGAGAATTGTCTGATTCTGAATGAGAAATGACAGCAGCCATCAACATTCCTTCTATTTTTGTCTTAGGAGCAATGGCTCCATCTTCAATACCTCTGTTTCAATGTGTTCTCTTGATTCAGTCTTTTCTCTTATACATAGTGGATTTGTCATTCTTATCTCTTCATACTTATTAAAGAAAATGACCAGTTACACCCATAATCATTAAAAGTGGCCACACTATTATGTAAAATAAATAATTTCTTTGGGCCATGGTTTCTGTGGTGAAGAGCGTGGGCTCTGTTTTGAGAGAGTTTCTCTCATTTTGAGTTTGATTGTCAAGGAAGAGGTTTGCTTTAATCAAGTATTCATTTTGAGAATTTGTAAGCTGGCTTCATTATTTTGTTCCCCCAAATTAATATCTTGACTAGCTTTATATAAGTAAAATAAAATGCAAAGAATTATTTTGCTCAATTTTCTATTTTCTAAAAGAGGAATTTGTAAGACTTGTCCTTCAAAAACAAGCTTAAAATCCCAAACAAAATAAATATAAGTACCAAAGTCTTGAAACTTTGTAAAAGGGCTCTTCAATTAATCTCCTTATTATCTCATCCTTTCTCCATTCTCATTGACTTATCAACTTGCTGTCAATTATCTCAAAGCTCCTTTGGTTACAAGTAACAGAAACCTGTTCCTACTACCTCACATATGAATACTTTAGTATTTATTGTTTTAGTTAAGATTTCAGAATTATCTCCCAGAAACCAAAGGCAGGAGATGCTTTACAATGAATCAGCAGAGGGAAAGCCATCAGCCAGCACGGCGACCACTCTTACTCTCTCTTTCTATGGAAACTTGTAAACTCACTTCTTTACTTTTTGTTGTATACGTCTGACTCATTCTTTTCTCTTTCACTCGAAAGAAGCTTTTAAATTCTTTGAAAAATGAATTCCAAACTCTGAGAAGAGAATGTAATGAGTCCAGATTGCTCAGCTTTTTCTCCTGGCCCAGATAAAGTTATTCAGAGAGGCACTTCCAGCAACTGACAGAGAGAATGGGGTTGAATTTTTGCCCAAAAGGTGGCTATTATGACACACTATGGCTGTTTCTCACCTTACCTTTCTTTTTCAAAAGTGTCCCACACTTTTCTTCTCTAAGCAATTCAAAAACTAATTCCATCAGTCTCAACTTTTTCAAGCATAAAAAGAATCAGTGCTTCAGCCAAGGAAAGTGGGGAGATGGGAAAGAGCCTGTGGCAGTGTTTTGGGGCAATCCAAAAGCCTGCAGATTCTGATGAGGCTTGCACACAGGACAATTGAATAAGGTCTGTTATCCCTTGGAATTATTGATGGACAGAAAACCAGTTCTGTTTGCTTCTGTAGCCCAGCAGTTCACACATTAAAGTCACTGCTATTAGTCTCTCTCAGAGCAGTGTCCAAATAATGTAATAACATTTCACAGTTATTAGCCTTTTCTAAGTTATTGCACTTTGCTCATTCCTGGCAAGAAGCCCATGTCCTGGAGCAGAACTCAACTTTTAAACACTGGAGTGATTGTCCTGTTTTAAATAATGCATTTGCCAAGGGATGCAAAGAAACTTTATGATCCTTAAAGAATCATTCACTTATCTATTTTAAATATTTAGAGTTTAACACTCTTGGCTGATTAAATCAAACCCAGGACAATGATTTCTCTACAGGTGTCCAAAGAAATAGTAAAACTGCATTTCTGCCTTTTCAATTCACTGTCTATGGGGTTCCAGTAACCCTAAAGGAATATTTTCAGCATCAGAGAAGGTTATAGCTATGAAAGTTACCTGGTAGGGTATATTTGTAAAGCACAGAGAGTGCATGTGCTGTACAGTAAAAGGATAATGTGTATTATCCTAAATGTCTTATCGTGGCCTGTAATGACATTAGGTCTCTTCTCAGTGACATAATTATATCCAAGTATGCCTGACTAATATTGGGAAAAGTGACTTATCTTTTCTTACTCTTTATTTCTGGTATATCAAAGGATCATTTTAATGTAGAAAGATACTACATGTAAAACATTTTGGGTTTATTGTAAGACATATAATGTGCCCACCTAGAGAAGAGATGATAACACCCTCTTCCAATGCCCTCTTCCTCAGCCCCACTTCTCTCTTGTAACAAATGTCCTATTGTAGCCTAGAAAAGATGAACTTAATCTCAGCCCCAGAACCTCTCTCTCTGGTTGAAGACAGAGGCATATACCTGAACTAGCCTGAGCCTTTCACATGCTCTCCTTTAGGAATTTAGAATTGAAACACAGAATCTGATGCAAGGCTGACAAAATGAAGGATCATGTAGACTACAGGGGTTTCCATTGTCGCAAGAAATGGCCATATGCACGTAGGTAAATGGGCAGGGAAGCTGATCTTAAAAAGAAAAAGATTAAACCAATGTCTACAAGATACCAATGTCAAAAGAAAAAAGGAAGTGGAAAGAAATTGCTTGAGTTCTTGGCAGTTGTCCTTATGAAGTATGGGGCTCTACTTATCAAGTTTTACAAAATATCCAGGACTCTTAGAATACACCTCATTTTAGTAACTTACCATAAGTCAGTTTCTATTTCTTGCTATTATTAGATTGAGAATTTCCTATTTCTTCATCTTGATTAAAACAAATGGATAGTAACTGAAGATTCATTAGAACAGAAGAAGAACAAGAATATACTCGTGGCCAAATCAGGGCACCGTCATTCAAAATAACTACTCACAGAACTGGCAATCATTGCCAAAGGGCTTTCACAGCCACTGTAAAATTTGACTGCCATACCATTCTATAGAAGCAAAACTCATTTTATAGATAAGAATAAGGAGGCATGGAAAGGTTAAACAACCTCTAAAACCACATAAGTCATATGTGACAGAAACAGAAATATACTGGAGCCTTCGGACTTCCACACTCCTGCACCTTCCACAGCATATTCTGTAAGGTGAAGAAGATAAGCCCTGTGACCAAACCCCAGTTTCATAAAAGAAGTTCCTGGTTTATTATTAATTAGAATTGTTAACTGAGTCCTCCAACAATGCCCTAATTGTTCCCAGCTTCACCAGTCACTACCATATATGAATCTGTATTTCAGTCTTCATTTGTAAAATGCATGCAGAGTGGAGGTAGAGGTTAGAGATGATGAATGAAAAGAACCCAGCACAGTGTCTGGCATCCAGCAAAGTTGTACCCGATACACTTCCATTACAATATAATACTGCACTTTCTAGGCAAACAAAGCCACAGAGAGATCGATTCAATAGTATCCTCCTCCTACTCTGCTTCCCTTAACTTTCACGGGTTACAGATTGACCGGCAGAACAGTACAGTGGTTAAGGCCTTCGGAAAGGGCAGCCTCTCTGCCTACTGAGTGGGCTTTGTGGGTTTTATACCTCCAATCTCCAGAATTGATTGTCTTACCTTTAGGATTTTATCTTCTATGTTTCTGCTCACAGCTCCTCCTTTATTGAGTCTTGGCTTAGTAAACAACAGAAATTCTTTGTTTTTGCATTTGCTTGTTACACATGGCCTGACTTTGGTGCCATTTTGTGTGTCCCAGATAAATTTCCATCCAAAAGGACAAAGTGGGGACTCCACTCCTCACCCACACAAACCTTTCACTACCTTTTCACCAACTCTATTCTTTAATAAAGTCACTTTTACAAACATATTTTTATTTCTACTAAATTATTACATTTATTTATTTATTTATTTATTTATTTATTTATTTATTTATTTATGTTGAGACAGGTTATCACTCCACCGCCCAGCCTGGAAAGCAGTGGTGCAATCACTGCTCACTGCAACCTTGACCTCCTGGGCTCAAGCAATCTTCCCATCTCAATCTTCTAAGCAGGGAGACTGCAGGTGCATGCCACCACACACAGCTAATTTTTTTCTGATTTTTAGTTGAGACAAGGTCTCAATATGTCGACCAGGCTGATCTCAAACTCTTAGGCTCAAGCCATCTTCACTCCTCAGCCTCCTATTACCTTTCTCATGGCACCTTCTACTCTTTATTTTATTTTGTGGTGTTATATTCTGATCACCTTCAAGCCTACCTAAACCACATAGTTATTGCAAGTATTTTGTCTTACATTTTTGGATATTTTCCTCTTTCTATCCCCTAAATATTATACAAACAAAGTTCACATTAGGAAAGCATTCCAAACTTGCTCATTATTTACAGTTCAGTTTTCTCTCCCTCTTTGTAAATTGCTTTGCCATTTTTATTCTGTTTCCCCAGCAATAACTCCTCCCAATTTGTCAAACACCTTCCTCTTACTTCTTATCTTTCTCATTGTAAAACATTTGAAACCCTTTGTGTAAGAGACAACAGATAAAAATAAGTTGAATGGCATCTACATGAATGGCACAGTGACATTTAGCTCATGGTACATATGTGGGAAAGCTGAAGTGCTAGCCTCTTCAGATCTCTCTATTTTTTCCTCAAATCCTTATGAAGAAACTAATGAATGTCAAGAAAGGGTAATTGAAGTGCTTATCTAAAATATACTAATAATTTCTTATTATGGATGAATAATTCTCTCCCAAAAAGAAAGGGACAAAGATGTGGTATTACACTATTTTTCAGGAAAATAAATCTGAGACTCCCAAGTTTTGTTCTGAAAGGGATAGAAAGATCTCTTCAGTCCTGGTCTGAATGCTGCCCACTATCACTGCCATAGATTTGGAAAAAGCTTCTCACAGGCTGAGTCTGGACCAGGAAGGAATGCCAGTGACATTGACCTTGAGCCCAACCTAAGAAATGGATCTTAGAATGAAGCCTTAAGTAGAGAAATTAAATGCCAAGTTTTATTAAGTACTTTCTGTGATTTCATAGAGTCTTAAACTTGATGTTAAGAGTCACATTTCTCTTGTTTTGGGAAAAATATGCCACTGAAAACATCTCAGTTTTGCAAAGTCAAGCTGAGTGCCTATACTGGAATGAAGGGGTACAGATATGGGGAGCTGAACGTCTTGTCTTCATCAGTGGCAGAGTATGACTCCACACGGATTACTTTGATTTTTAATTTTGATTCCTGTGTCCACAGGGAAGCCTTGGCAGGGGCAAGGGTCAGAAGAGGGCAGTACATACATATCTGCAAAAGTGTGGTAGGTCAGGGCAGAGGAGAAAGAAGGGACGATAGTCCTCGGGATCCCCCAAGAATAGCTGAAATCATGGTCCCTGGGGACAGTGGTATTTGATAGCCAGTTCTAGAGGTGGAAGTGTACTATTTCTGCATTTAAATTTCTATATGTTACACTTAAGCCTTTAGTTCAGCTTGGTTAAGCACCATCACCTGGTGTCAGCCATGGTTGGTGGGGGGGATGACGTACGTTTGGTTCACGTGTGGGGTGAAGTAGGCTGGAAGGGTGTCCATAGGAGGAAAAGATAATCAGAGGAATAGTAAAGAGAGTAAGAGAAAGCAAGAAGCAACTAGAATGAATCTTCACAATATGTTGCCATTCCCAGAGGATTTCCACAATGACTTGCAAGGGTAAAGGAGAGAAACTGACAGATTTCCTGCAGCTGTGGAGGATGGGAACTCAGATTGTGTTCGTCGACTTAAAAAATGACACAGTGTTGGAGAAGTGAGGACATTCAAATTGTACACACAAAATCTTTTGTTTGTAAGGCAGTGGGTTCCTTTCTCCGATCTTTACTCTTAGAGATTTGACATTTGGAGATATATTGCTCTTCTGATAACCCTTAATATCTGCTTTACTGTCTCACAGTCTCAACTCCAAGCAGAATTTTTATCTGTTTCTGTGTTTCTATAATACATGTTTGGATTCAAAATACAGTCACATCCCTCAGGGACAAATTCAAAGGAGAAAAGGGGAAGGGGGACGGGGGGAGAAAATAAAGAAAACTAAAGTCAGAGAGAGAAGACCACGGGGAGTTGGAGAAAAGTGTGGTACGTTGAACTACTGCTTAGGTTAAGCTATGCATCACTGATTTTCTTAGCATCTTCTGGAGTTAAGCTATTGCTGACATCTAATCTAACCCATTGCCACCACCTGCCACAGGACAGTGATGTGATCCTGAGAGATAACCTTTATATTAGGCAGCATCATTATCCAGAAACCAGAGGGGACTGATTTAAAATGTCACTCCCAAAAAAAGAGCCACTGTCAGGCAAAGTAGGACAGTCACAAACAGGCACAGGGAAGCATGCCTTCTCTTTACACATCTAAGCATACTCACCAATTTACATACAGGAAATGGTCTAGATCTTTCCATCTCTAATAGTTTTAGCTAATATTTACTAAGCACTTACTAAGTGCCCAGTCTTGAGAACTTACCTACATCATCTCATCCTCCACTGATGACCACTGAGGGAAGTCAGTACTATTATTATCCACATTTTAAATGAGCAAACAGAGGTCCAAGGAGGTTCAGAAACTTGTTCAAGGTCACAAATCATATGGTAAAGAACAGAGATTTGTACACAGGCTACACTACTGACAGCCATGCCTTCACACTATGTCCTCTCATGCTTTCTTTTCCTACCTGTGATTTTTCTCATACTTTGCTGCCCCTCTTACTCTCCCAGCATGAGCCTTACTCAACTCAGAAGACTGCAGTTTTTAAATATCCTAGCCTACCCCAAATGGCTGAGGCAGAGGACAATACTCCTTATTATCTACATCTGAATGTACTCTATCCTGCTGCAACTTTCCCTCTGCAGGGCTTCTGGGTGACACTCAGCCACCTTCTGATCATCTTCCATCTTTAGCCAGTGTGATGTGCTCAGGGTATGAAAATCCACTTTAGTAGATCTTAAATTTGAAAAGCTAAAGACATTGTTTGAATTCTTTCTCAAACAATCATTCTCTAGGTAAGCCAATTTATTTAAGCGCTTTTGATCTCTATTTTCTCACCTGCTAAATGGAACCAGTATGCCTACTACATAAAGCTGTCATATGGAACAAAAGAAATGAAGCAAGAAAAGTGCACAGACGTATCCAATGTAAATTATCGTATCTAAATAAGCTTTAGATATGATTATTATCATCATAACTTATTAGGGAAGGTTTTTAATCCTCATTTAGTAGAGGAAGAAATTGAGAAGCAGAAGGGAGGTCTTGCCTCAAATTATACAACTAGTGCATGGCAGAGGACAAAGCAAAGCAGACCCTTCTTTGTACAAGCATTACCTGAACTTTTACTATGTTCCAGGTTCTGCAGTACATGCCATGGACACATAGATGAATTTGCACAATGCGACCTTTTATTAAAATGCATAATTCTGGTATGGCATATTTCTCTAAATATTCATGAATATTCCAAAAGGAAAAAAATGCTAAAGATCCTAGAGAGATGAATTGTCATCTTAAGGTCGAATGATAGATGATATAGACAGTGTCTACAAAATAATAACTCAAACACTCTGACACCTAAGCTGTTACCCATTCCTTTCCACTATGCTGCCTTCAGCTGAATGTAATTAGAAAAGTATATCTCTAGAAAACTAACACTCATTATACAAAGTATTCTAGCATCAACCATAACTTATTTTCTTCATCAGTGCAGGAAATTGGGTGTTGACTGTGTTTAAGTTAGAAAAAACAAAGAGTTGATTTAAATTCTACATAAGAATATCTTTTAGAGATTGAGGCCTTGGTAAAAAGAGCCACAGACTAAGATTTTATAAAACGTGGTTCTAGTCCAGCCAGCTCTTCACTATGCTGCTTCCTCCTATGTTGAATGGCCACAGTTTCACTTCTGGTGCAAAGAGAGTGTATGTATAGGTGGGGAGGGGTGGGTCAGACAGCTGGCAGTGGAAAGGTGGCCAGGAGGTTTATATGTTCCTTTCCTGCAGGTACTGTCTTTATAATAATTTTATTTTACTTTTTTTATTCTTAGTTCCTGGAAGAGTCGCCACTTAATAGAGTGTGTTTATACACAAAGAATGAAAAGGATGAAAGAGGACTCATCCACATCCACTGGAAGATATTGTTCTCAGGATTCCTGGGCTGAGGCTCAGATTTCCAGAAAAGGAGCAGAAAAAGTGGGAGGTGGCTGGAACCATCACAGCTCCACAAGTAAACCAACAGAAGGCATTTCTTTCCTATTACCATTTCCAGTTCTGGCCCTGCAGATCTGGTTTTGAACAGGTAGGAGTGAGGTAGCAAGCAGAGATAAAGTGGAAACAAGTTGACCCCAGACTACATACGACAAAGGAGAGGATAAAAAATCAAAATGTGACAGAGATTGGTATCTTGGGAGTGAGAGGTCATTATTAATAATAATAGTAACTTCCATTTCCAGTGTCTTGCCATGTGCCAAGCATTGTTCATAAGTTGTTCTAATACTTATATCAAGTTAAATACTACATCTGCATTTTAGAGATGAGAAAGTAGAGACTCAGAGAGGTTAAGTAAATTTTCCAAGGGTAAACAGTAAATATCAGAGCTAGAGATAAACTCATGTTTATCTATCTTTAAAATCTATGCACTTTTCACATGCTATGCTGGGGTATGGCTATGGAAGGATATAGAAAGCTGAAAGTATTTACATCAGCTAATGCCTATATTCAAAACTCAAATTACTCAGTTTCCTCCTCTGTAAAACAAAGAGATTTTAGTCGCATTTGGAAGCATGATTTTGGTCAAATAGAAACTTAACATCTTCTAAAATCTGCTTTGGCAAAGCACACATCATAAGAACTCAAAAGCAACCTCATTTAATTCTCAGTGAATTAAACCCCCCTTTAATAAACAGGATAAATAAGATAAGTCCAATAGCCTTGGTAAGATTCTGCAATTGGAGATAAATAATTGTAAATATAAAAAAAAATTTACTTTCTCGAGAGTTATGAAGCTTAAGAGCTAAAATGCCGTTCGATCTTTATGTGGAGTGGACCGACAATAAATTATTGAAGGGAATAGCTGGGAAGAATTTTTTAAGGTCATTTTTTTCTCGTGCATCTACTTCACCTTCTTGCTCTCAAGTAATCTTCCAGGCTCTGCTTAAATGTGTTCAGAAATGAGGAACTCATCATTTTTGGGAACTTCTTGCATTGAGCTCAACTCTGTAAATCATAGAGAATATAATGTCTAATTTTTTTTATTTGAGAAATTCTATTCATTTGGTACTCTCTGGGCTCCTGACAAGCTGAAATAAAGGGGAGAAAAGACTCAAACATTTTGGTGGAGTATTTTCAACATAACATATAATCAGAATAATTAATGCAAGTGCAAATGTGATATTAGTTTCTGGAAACGTTTACCTTATGAAATGAATCATAATTGCAATGGTGAGGCTTGGCATTAAAAGAAAAGGATAAAAAGTCTGTCTTCCATTCTTTCTTTCTTCTTTCTTTCTTTCTTTCTTTCTGACAGGATCTAACTAACTCACTTGGCATTGGATATATCATGACATTTATCAAAGGTATTCTTTTTAGACTCTAGCTTTTAAAAAATTGGTTGTTTGGACAAATTGATTTGATGGACAGGAGGCATTAAATGTAGTCAAATGGCTGGCCTTGTAAACAAAGAAATACTTGGAGGATGTAGAAGAAATGAATGTCCTGTGTACATTGTTGGATCATAGGGTAGACATCTTCCCATATCATTACAATATACTCTATGATGCCCCACCTCCAATTCATCTCTATAACCTCGTATCTTATCACCCTCCAGCCACATTATTCTTGAATTTTCAATCGGCCTGGATTATTTTTAGTTCCCGTACTTCATACTCTTGCCTTCCCCACTCCTGACCACTGATCTGTTCTCCACAGCAGTCAGTGTAATCTTTTAAAATGAAATGCAGTCACATCACTTCTCTGTCTAACCCTCAGTGGAAACATATTAGGCTTAAGTTTGAGCCAAGGTCTTTAACCGTTTTCACTGGCGTCCCTGTGAAGAGACCACTTAAACAGGCTTTGTGTGAGCAACAAGGCTGTTTATTTCACCTGGGTGCAGGCGGGCTGAGTCCGAAAAGAGATTCAGCAAAGGGATATAGGGGTGGGGCCATTTTATAAGATTTGGGTAGGTAAAGTAAAATTACAGTCAAAGGGGGGTTGTTCTCTGACGGGCAGGAGTGGGGGTCACTAGGTACTCAGTGGGGGAGGTTTTGAGCCAGGATGAGCCAGGAGAAGGAATTTCACAAGACAATGTCATCAGTTAAGGCAGGAACAGGCCATTTTCACTTCTTTTGTGGTGGAATGTCATCAGTTAAGGCAGGAACCAGCCATCTGGATGTGTACCTGCAGGTCACGGGGGATATGATGGCTTAGCTTGGGCTCAGAGGCCTGACATTCCTGTCTTCTTACATTAATCAGAAAAATAAAATGAAATAGCGGTAAAGTGTTGGGATGGCAAAAATTTTGGGGGGTGGTATGGAGAGATAATGGGTGATGTTTCTCAGGGCTGCTTCAAGCAGGATTAGGGGCAGCGTGGGAACTTAGAGTGGGAGAGATTAAGCTGAATGAAGATTTTGTGGTAAGGGGTGATATTGTGGGACTGTTAGAAGAAACATTTGTCATTTAGAATTATTGGTGATGGCCTGGATATGGTTTTGTATGAATTGAAAAACTAAATGGAATAAGAGATGGAGAAAAACAGGTATTAAAAGTCTAAGAATTGGGAGGACCCAGGACATCTAATTAGAGAGTGCCTAAGGAGATTCAGCATAGTCCTGCCAGCAAAGATTATTTATTTATCTACTTCAAGAGTTAAGAGTGGTAGTTTGGGGATAGCACCAGGAGATATCAGCTGTGATGGCTTGGAGAAACAGTGTAAACCGGCAGTGTAAACAAGAGCAGGGCATGTATGAGTAGTTGAGAATGGTGAATACGAGTATGACTAGACAGAAGACAGTAGGGATGACAAGTTTTTTGGGGCACAGTCTAAGTTGGTGTGGTGTCTGGAATGAGACTGGCGCTTAATAAAAAGGAGCGCCTATACAGGAGCTCAAATGGGCTGTACCCGTAGCATTCCAAGGACAGGCCTGAATTCTGAGAAAAGAAAGAGGTAAAAGTATTGTCCAGTCCTTTTTAAGTTGGTGGCTGAGCTTGGTGAGGTGTGTTTTTAAAAGACTATTAGTCCGTTCTACCTTTCCTGAAGACTGAGGACTGTAAGGGATATAAAGGTTTCACTGAATACTAAGAGCCTGAAAAACTGCTTGGCTGATTTGACTAATAAAGGCCGGTCCACTATCAGACTGCGTAGAGGTGGGAAGCCCAAACTGAGTAATTATGTCTGACAGAAGGGAAGAAATGACCGTGGTGGCCTTCTCAGACCCTGTAGGAAAGGCCTCTACCCATCCAGTGAAAGTGTCTACTTAGACTAAGAGGTATTTTAGTTTTCTGACTTGGGGCATGTAAGTAAAGTCAATTTGCCAGTCTTGGGCAGGGACAAATCCTTGAGCTTGATGTGTGGGAAAGGGAGGAGGCCTGAGCCATCCCTGAGGGGTAGTAGAAGAGCAGATGGAACACTAAGAAGTGACCTCCTTGAGGATAGATTTCCATGATGGAAAGGAAATGAGAGGTTGTAAGAGACGGGCTAGCGGCTTGTAACTTACATGGAAGAGGTTATGAAATCACAACAGAATAGAATGGGTCTGTGAGGCTGGGAAGGAGATATTTTCCTTGGTCTAAGAACTATTTGCCTTGTGTGGGAAGAGATTGATAGGTGGAAGTTTCAGCGGGGGGTAGGTGGGAGTGACCGATGTGAAGGAGAAAAACTGAAAGTGAGGGACAGAAGTCAGAGAGCCAGCCACTTGTCTAGTCACCTTATCAGCATAAGCTTTGCTGTGAGAGACAGAAGTTGGAAAGCTAGCTGCTTGTCTAGCCACCTTATCAGCATAAGCGTTGCCTAGAGCAATGGGATCTGAGGCCTTTTGATGCCTTTTGCAGTAAATGACCTTAGCTTCCTTTGGAAGTAAAGCAGCCTTGAGCAGAGGTTTTATTAAAGAGGCATTAATGATAGAGGACCTTTGTGTAGTAAGGAAACCTCTTGCATGGTGGTGCAGGATATGAAAGGCATATTTAGAGTCAGTATAAATACTGATATTTAGTCTTTTTGCAAGAGTGAGGGCTTGACTTAAGGCAATGAGTTTAGCTTGCTAAGAGGTAGTGGAGGGGGGACAGAGCAGTAGCCTCAATGATATATGTGGAAGATACTATAGCATAGCCTGCCTTGGCTGGTGAGTGGCAATTAGGCCTGGTGGAACTGCCATCAATAAACTAAGTGTGTTCAAGGTGAGGAACATGAAAGAATATGGGGAAATGGAGTGAATGTCAGGTGGATCAGAGAGATAAAGTCATGGTGGTCAGGTGTGGTATCAGGAATAATGTGGGAGGCAGGATTGAAGTCTGGGCCAGGAACAATGGTAATTGTGGGAGACTTAACAAAGAGTGAGTACAGCTGAAGGAGCTGGGAGGCAGAAAGTATATGTGCCAGGTGTGAGGAAGAAAACAGATTTTGGAAGTTATGAGAACTGTAGAGAGTGAGTTGAGCATAGTTTGTGATTTTAAGGGCCTTTAAAAGTATTAGAGCAGTGGCAGCCACCATACGCAGACTTGAGGGCTAGGCAAAACAGTAAGGTCAAGTTGTTTGGATAAAAAGCCTACAGGGTGCGGTCCTGGTCCTTGTGTAAGATTTCTGACTGCACAGCCTTGCACTTCGGCTGTGGGTAATGAAAGGGTTGGGATGAGTCAGGGAGAGCTAGTCGGGGGGGGCAATCTCTAAAGCTGTCTTCAAGCAATGCAAAGAGGAGTGGGGAAAGGATTTAGGATCTATGGGGTCAGCTAGGTTTCTTTTTGTGAGTTTATATAATGGTTTTGTTAGGATGGCAAAACTAGATATCTAAAGTCGAAAGTATCTAACCATGCCTAGGAAGGAAAGGAGTTGTTGTTTTGTAGAAGGGATTGAGTTTTGGGAGATTAGTCGGACACGATCAGCAGGGAGAGCACTTGTGTTTTTATGAGAATTATGCCGAGATAGGTAACAGATGAGGATGAAATTTGGGCTTGACTGAAGTAATGGGGGCTATCTGTGAAGCCTTGTGGTAGTACAGCCTAGGTAATTTGCTGACCCTGATGGGTGTCAGAGTCAGTCTAAGTGAAAGCGAAGAGAGGCTGGGATGAAGGTTGCAAAGGAATAGTAAAGAAAGCATGTTTGAGATCCAGAACAGAATAATGGATTGTGGAGGGAGGTATTGAGGATAGGAGAGTATATGGGTTTGGCACCATGGGGTGGATAGGCAAAACAATTTGGTTAATAAGGCTCAGATCCTGAACTAACTTGTAAGGCTTGTCTGGTTCTAGGACAGGTAAAATGGGGGAATTGTAAGGAGAGTTTATAGGCTTTAAAAGGCCATGCTATAGCAGGAGAGTGGTAACAGGCTTTAATCTTTTTAAAGTGCACTGAGGGATGGGATATTGGCGTTGAGTGGGGTAAGGGTGATTAGGTTTTAATGAGATGGTAAGGGGTGCATGATCGGTCGCCAAGGAGGGAGTAGAGGTATCTTATACTTGTGGGTTAAGGTGGGGGGATACAAGAGGAGACGCAAAGGAGGCTTTGGATTGGGAAGAAGGGCAGCAATGAGATGCAGCTGTAGCCCAGGAATAGTCAGGGAAGCAGATAATTTAGTTAAAGTGTCTCGGCCTAATAAGGGAACTGGGCAGGTGGGGATAACCAAAAAGGAGTGCTTAAAAAAGTATTGTCTAAGTTGACATCAGATTTGGGGCCTTTTAAGAGGTTTAGAAGCCTGGACGTCAATACCCACAACAGTTTTGGAGGCAAGGGAAACAGGCCCTTGAAAAGAAGGTAAAGTGGAGTGGGTAGCCTCCGTATTGATTAAGAAGGGAACAGACTTACCTTCCACTGTGAAAGTTACCCGAAGCTTGGCGTCCGTGATGGTCTAGGGGGCTTCCGAGGCAATCAGGCAGCGTCAGTCTTCAGCTGCTAAGCCGAGAAGATCTAGGAAGGAGTCAGTCAGAAAGCTTTGGGCCAGAGTTCCAGGGGCTCTGGGAGTGGCTGCCAGGTGAGTTGAACAGTCCGGTTTTCAGTGGGGTCCCGCACAGATGGGACGTGGCTTAGGAGGAATCCTGGGCTGCGCGCATTCCTTGGCCTGGTGGCCAGCTTTCTGGCACTTGTAGCAAGCTCCTGGGGAAGACGGGCCTGGAGGAACGCCTGGCCACTGCGGTTTAGGCGTTTGGAAGTTCTCGTGTGCTGGAGATGTGGCTGGGGTTTGTCTCACAGTGGAGGCAAAGAATTGCAACTCAGAAATATGTTGCTACTTGGCTGCCTCCACTTTATTATTGTACACCTTGAAGGTGAGGTTAATTAAGTCCTGTGTGGGGTTTGAGAGCTGGAATTTAATTTTTGGAGTTTTATTTAATGTCAGGAGCAGATAGGGTAATAAAATGTATATTGAGACTAAGACGGCCTTTTGACCTTTTAGGGTCTAGGGCTGTAAAGCATCTCAGGGTTGCTGCCAAACGAGCCATGAACTGGGCTAGGTTTTTATATTTGATGAAAAAGAGCCTAAATACTCTCTGATTTGGGATAAAGAAAAATGAGCATTAACCTTGACTATGCCTTTACCTCTAGCCACCTTTTTAAGCGGAAATTGCTGGGCAGATGGGGGAGGGCTAATCACAGAACGAAACTGCAAGCCGGACTGGGTGTGAGGAGGGGAGGTGATAAAAGGATTATAGGGTGGAGGAACAGAGGCTGAGGAAGAATTGGGACTTAGCTCAGCCTGGCAAGGAGTGGAGAGGTCAGATGGGTCTGTAGAAAAGGAAGATTTTCAAGACTCAGGAATGCTTGGGGTTGGGACTGAGGGCCTTGGGGTTGGGACTGAGGGGACAGGTGGGAGGGAAAGAAGGAAGATTTGGGACGAGTTGCATTGGGAACAGAGACTAGGGAGGGACTGATGTGTAAAAGAATGCCTGGATGTCAGGCACCTCAGACTGTTTGCCTGTTTTACGACAAGAATTATTTAGATCTTGTAGGATGGAAAAATTGAAAGTGCCATTTTCTGGCTATTTGGAATCACTGTCGAGTTTGTATTGGGGTCAAGGGGCATTGCAGAAGAAAATAAGGCATTTAGGTTTTAGGTCAGGTGTGAGTTGAAGAGGTTTTAGGTTTTTAAGAACACAGGCTAAGGGAGAAGAAGGGGGAATGTAGGACAGAAGCTTGCCTATAGTGAAGGAGGCAAGCCTAGAAAAAAGAGAGTAGAGACATGGAGGGAGGGGGTTCAGGTGTTCTTACCCCCCAGAAAAGTGGGAAAGGGGTCAGGGCACAGAAATGGGTTGTGGCGCAGAGATAAGAGGTCAGGGCATGGAAATAAGGAGTTGGGGCAAAGATATAAGAGGTCGGGGTGCAGAAATAAGGGATTGGGGTGCAGAAACGAGGGATCGGGGTGCAGAGATAAGAGGTCAGGGCATGGAAATAAGGGATCTGGGTGCGGAGATAAGAGGTCAGGGCATGGAAATAAGGGATCGGAGCACAGAGATAAGGGGTTGGGGCATGGAAATAAGGGATGGGGGGTTCTTGCCCCCCAGAAAAGCAGAGAAGGGGTAGAGACAGGGAGAGAAGGGGTCTGGGTTCCTGTCCCTCCCTCAGAAAAGCAGGACTTGCTGCTAAGCATGAAGGACCAATGCAGACATTCCTGTGTGGTCAGACACCTCTGAAACGTGGGTGAATAATCAGAGAGGTGTCCCTGCAATGATTAAACACAAAGGGAAGGCTGTCTTCCCGAGTCTGTGACTGGCGCCAGAGTTTTGGGTCCACGGATAAAACGTGTCTCCTTTGTCTCTACCAGAAAATGAAAGGAATTGAAATTAAGAGAAGGGAGAGATTGAAGGGTGGTGCCAAGATTGAAAGGAGAAAGTGGTTGAGGGATAGTGAGAGAGGTTGGAGAAGAGAGTAAGAAGAGGCCACTTACCCGATTTAAAATTGGTGAGATGTTCCTTGGGCTGGTGGGTCTGAGGACCCAAGGTCATAGGTGGATCTTTTTCACGGAGCAAAGAGCAGGAGGACAGGGGATTGATCTCCCAAGGGAGGTTCCCCAATCCGAGTCATGGCACCAAATTTCACTCACGTCCATGTGAAGCGACCACCAAACAGGCTTTGTGTGATCAACAAGGCTGTTTGTTTCACCTGGGTGCAGGCGGGCTGAGTCTGAAAAGAGAGTCAGTGAAGGGAGATAGGGGTGGGCCCATTTTTATAAGATTTGGGTAGGTAAAGTAAAATTACAATCAAAGGGGGGGTTGTTCTCTGATGGGCAGGGGTTGGGGGGTCACAAGGTACTCAGTGGGGGAGCTTTTGAACCAGGATGAGCCAGAAGGAATTTCAGAAGACAATGTCATCAGTTAAGGCAGGAACAGGCCATTTTCACTTCTTTTGTGGTGGAATGTCATCAGTTAAGGCAGGAACTGGCCATCTGGATGTGTACCTGCAGGTCACAGGGGATATGATGGCTTAGCTTGGGCTCAGGGGCCTGAAAATCATTGATTCATAGGGCTCTGCACAATTGGGTTTTACCTTCATTTCCACTTCATCTTGCACCATGTTTCCTGGAGTTCCCTCCTCCACCCGCACTGGCCTCTTGAGTGTCTCTCATTCCTCCCTCAAACTCCCTTCAGGTCTTATCTCAGAAAGTATTCTTTCAAAGCACTCTGTCCTTCACCCATCTTAAAACTCATGTTCTGCATCTTGATAACCTGTATGCTCAACTCTCCCTCCTAGTAAACTGAAATCCCTCTAAAGGTATGGATCATGGTTGTGCACTCCTGTATCATCAGGCTGAGCTGAGTTCATCTGGCACTAGCAGAGCCTCAGAAATTATTTAGACACAAATGATTGGGCTATAGAGTACAGTGCTGTCCAGTCATTTTGAACTGGGATGCCAGCTGTTTTTAAAAAGTATCTAAGGCTGGGCACGGTGGCTCAAGCCTGTAGTCCCAGCACTTGGGGAGGCTGAGGCAGGCAGATCACCCGAGGTCAGGAGTTCGAGACCAACCTGACCAACATGGTGAAACCCTGTCTCTACTAAAAATACAAAAATTAGCCAGGCGTGATGGTGGGTGGCTGTAATCTCAGCTACTCAGGAGGCTGAGGAAAGAGAATCGCTTGAAGCCGGGAAGCGGAGGTTGCAGTGAGCAGAGATCACACCACTGCACTCCAGCCTGGGTGACAGAGCAAGACTCCATCTCAAAAAAAAAAAAAAATTAAGTTTTACTTCTTTAAAAATGCATCTGTGCATGTGGCAGTAAGCGTGTTTGTATTTGTGTTCAGAAAAAAGCTCATATTGACTGGAACGTGTGCTTGACATTTTCCATGGGATCAGCACCAATGTCTACTACAAAGGAAAAGCAGGGAAGAGGCTGCTCAGCATGTTTACAGGAAGATAACCTGCGTGGTTCTGTTTCAACCAAATTGATACATTTGTTGGGCATCACCAAGCTGCACAGGATGTCTCCCAGAGATTAGCTGTGGTGTCTTCATTTGCTTTTGAATATGTGAATAGCTTTGGAAGTGCTTGGCAGGAGGTATCATTTTCACATTCTCCCTGAAGTAATAAAAACAGAAAAACCTTTTTACCAAATAATGTGGATCAGAAATGATGTTTTCAAAATAGAAACTTGTTCTCAGTCCATACCACACTCTCTGAAGATTGTGTGTTCTATCCTGAGAATGGGGGTGGGGGGTGGGCAAGTGGAGGCTGGTGCTGATGTGGCATTTGTGTTACATAAATCGTCTGTCCCAGAAAGAAGCTGTTAGACTGACTCCAGTGGATTAATGCTAATTCCTCTCCCAGGAGTTTGGAATTTGCATTTCAAAATGCTGGTCATTTTTTCATTTTGTTTGAGTTAAGAAGATATAAGTTGAGGGGTTACAGGGCAACCATTTGACATCATGGGCAGGGAAAGAAGGGAAAGCCAGTCAGCCAAGGGGAAAGAGTGAGGCAAAAGAGAGCAGCAGTGATGAAAGACGATATGGTTCCAGGGAGGCAGCGACAGGTCCACAGATGAGGATGGGCCCTGGCTGTCTCAAAGAACGTTATCTGTTTTCTTATTTCCATCCTTTTTAAGACTAGACTGCTCATGCTTCTGCGATAGATTTCTCCTTCCTTCTAAGGTGCTTTCTTGACTTAATACAGTTTGAGCAGGTTTTCCTTATTTGAAACCAAAAGTACTTACCTAGGCAAGGATTCTGTAGTAACACTGAGTCTCAGGGTGTTGAAAAGTGACTTTGAAAAATGTTAAAGAAAAAAAAATAGAACAGAGATCTATAGGAATGTAAAGGACAGGAGACATTGGGCTGGCAGGAGGTGATCTTTTGTTCAGCAAAACTGACGTGGGAACCTTCTATTCTTCTCTAGCTGAGAAAGACAACTGATGTGCACAAACTAGCCAGGCACAGTGGTTTGCACCTGTAGTCTTAGCTACTCTGGGGGACACTGAGGTGGGAGTATTGCTTGAGCCCAGAGTTTCAGTCTAGCCTGTACTAAGACCTTCATCTCTCTAAAATAATTAAAAAGTAAAGTGCACAGACTGCCTGACTTCCTATTTGTTTCTCCAAATTGTCATAGAGATGTCAGCAGGTGACTTGAAAAAAATGCTTCCAATTGTGTAGAAAAATCAAATTATTTATTCTTTATTTATATGTTAAATTACTAAGAGAATTACTTGTCTCTCAGGCCCAAATTTTCACTCGCGTCTGTGTGAAGAGACCACCAAACAGGCTTTGTGTGAGCAATAAAGCTTTAAATCACCTGGGTGCAGGCAGCTGAATCCGAAAAGAGAGTCAGCTAAGGGAGATAGGGGTGGGACCGTTTTACAGGATTTGGGTAGGTAAAAGGAAAAGGGGGGTTCTCTGGCTGGCAGGAATGTGTGTCACAAGGTGGTCAGTAGGGGAGCTTTTGAGCCAGGATGAGCCAGGAGAAGGAATTTCACTAGATAACATCATCAGTTAAGGCAGGAACGTGCCATTTTCATTTCTTTTGTGGTGGAATGTCATCAGTTAAGGCAGGAACTGGCCATCTGGATGTGTACCTGCAGGTCACAGGGGATATGATGGCTTAGCTTGGGCTCAGAGGCCTGACATTCCTGTCTTCTTATGTTAATAAGAAAAATAAAATAGTGGTAAAGTGTTGAGACGGAGAAAATTTTGGGGGACGGTATGGAGAGATAATGGGTGATGTTTCTCAGGGCTGCTTCGAGCAGGATTGGGGCAGCGTGGGAACCTAGAGTGGGAGAGATTAAGCTGAATGAAGATTTTGTGGTAAGGGGTGATATTGTGGGACTGTTAGAAGAAACATTTGTCATTTAGAATTATTGGTGATGGCCTGGATACGGTTTTGTATGAATTGAAAAACTAACTGGAATAAGAGTAGGAGAAAAACAGGTATTAAAAGTCTAAGAATTGGGAGGACCCAGGACATCTAATTAGAGAGTGCCTAAAGAGGTTCAGCATAGCCCTGCCAGCAAAGATTATTTATTTACTTTAAGAGTTAAGAGTGGCAGTTTGGGGATAGCACCAGGAGATATCAGCTGTGATGGCTTGGAGAAACAGTGTAAACTGGCAGTGTAAACAAGAGCAGGGCATGTATGAGTAGTTGAGAATGGTAAATACGAGTATGACTAGACAGAAGACAGTAGGGATGACAAGTTTTTTGGGGCACAGTCTAAGTTGGTGTGGTGTCTGGAATGACACTGGGGCCTAATAAAAAGGAGCATCCATACAGGAGCTCAAATGGGCTGTACCCTGTAGCATTCCAAGGACAGGCCTGAATTCTGAGAAAAGAAAGAGGTAAAAGTATTGTCCAGTCCTTTTTAAGTTGGTGGCTGAGCTTGGTGAGGTGTGTTTTTAAAAGACTATTAGTCCGTTCTACGTTTTCTGAAGGCTGAGGACTGTAAGGGATATAAAGGTTTCACTGAATACCAAGAGCCTGAAAAACTGCTTGGCTGATTTGACTAATAAAGGCCGGTCCACTATCGGACTGCGTAGAGGTGGGAAGGCCAAACCGAGGAATTAAGTCTGACAGAACAGAAGAAATGACCGTGGTGGCCTTCTCAGACCCTGTAGGAAAGGCCTCTACCCATCCAGTGAAAATATCTACCCAGACTAAGAGGTATTTTAGTTTTCTGACTCAGGGCATGTGAGTAAAGTCAATTTGCCAGTCCTGGGCAAGGGCAAATCCCTGAGCTTGATGTGTGGGAAAGGGAGGAGGCCTGAACAATCCCTGAGGGGTAGTAGAAGAGCAGATGGAACACTAAGAAGTGATTTCCTTGAGGATAGATTTCCATGATGGAAAGGAAATGAGAGGTTCTAAGAGACAGGCTAGTGGCTTGTAACCTACATGGAAGAGGTTATGAAATGACGACAGAATAGAATGGGCCTGTGAGGCTGGGAAGGAGATATTTTCCTTGGTCTAAGAACTATTTGCCTTGTGTGGGAAGAGATTGATAGGTGGAAGTTTCAGTAGGGGAGTAGGTGGGAATGGCCAGATGAGAAGGAGAAAAACTGAAAGTGAGTGATATAAGTTGGAATGCTAGCTGCTTTTTTAGCTATCTTATCAGCATAAACATTGTCCTGAGCGATGGGATCTGATGCCCTTTGATGGCCTTTGCAGTGAATGACTCTAGCTTCCTTTGGAAGTAAAGCAGCTTTGAGAAGCGTTTTTATTAAAGAGGCATTAATGATAGAGGACCCTTGTATAGTGAGGAAACCTCTTGCATGGTGGTGCAGGATATGGAAGGCATATTTAGAGTCAGTATAAATATTGAGGTTTAGTCCTTTTGCAAGAGTGAGGGCTTGACTTAACGCAATGAGTTTGGCTTGCTGAGAGGTAGTGGAGGGGGACAAAGCAGTAGTCTCAATGATATATGTGGAAGATACTGTAGCATAGCCTGCCTTGGCTGGTGAGTGGCGATTAGGCCTGGTGGAGCTGCCATCAATAAACTAAATGTGATCAGGGTGAGGAACAGGAAAAAAGGAAATATGGGGAAATGGGGTGAATGTCAGGTGGATCAGAGAGATACAGTCATGAGGGTCAGGTGTGGTATCCAGAATAATGTGGGAGGCCAGATTGAAGTCCGTGCCAGGAACAATGGTAATTGTGGGAGACTCAACAAAGAGTGAGTATAGCTGAAGGAGCCGGGGAGCAGAAAGTATATGTGTCAGGTATGAGGAAGAAAGTAGATTTTGGAAGTTATGAGAACTATAGAGAGTGAGTGGAGCATAGTTTGTGATTTTTAGGGTCTCTAAAAGTATTAAAGCAGCGGCAGCTGCTGCACGCAGACATGAGAGCTAGGCTAAAACAGTAAGGTCAAGTTGTTTGGACAGAAAGGCTGCAGGGTGCGGTCTCGGCTTTTGTGTAAGAATTCTGATTGCACTAACCATGCCTAGGAAGGAAAGGAGTTGTTTTGTAGAAGGGATTGAGGTTTGGGAGATTAGTTGAACAGGATCAGCAGGGAGAGCACGTGTGTTTTTATGAGAATTATGCCGAGATAGGTAATAGATGAGGATGAAATTTGGGCTTGACTGAAGTAATGGAGGCTGTCTGTGAAGGCTTGCCACAGTACAGCCTATGTAATTTGCTGAGCCTAATGGGTGTCAGTGTCAGTCTAAGTGAAAGTGAAGAGAGGCTGGGTATGAAGGGTGCAAAGGAATAGTAAAGAAAGCATGTTAGAGATGCAGAACAGAATAACGGGTTGTAGAGGGAGGTATTGAGGATAGGAGAGTATATGGGTTTGGCACCACAGGGTAGATAAGCAAAACAATTTGGTTAATAAGGCTCAGATCCTGAACTAACTTGTAAGGCTTGTCTGGTTGTAGGACAGGTAAAATAGGGGAATTGTAAGAAGAGTTTATAGGCTTTAAAAGGCCATGCTGTAGCAGGCGAGTGATAATAGGCTTTAATCTTTTTAAAGTGCACTGAGGGATGGGATATTGGCGTTGAGCAGAGTAAGGGTGATTAGGTTTTAATGAGATGGTAAGGGGTGCATGATCGGTCACCAAGGAGGGAGTAGAGGTATGCTATACTTGTAGCTTAAAGTGGGGGCATACAAGAGGAGGAGGCAAAGGAGGCTTTGGATTGGGAAGAAGGGCGGCAATGAGATGTGGCTGTAGTCCAGGAATAGTCAAGGAAGCAGATAATTTAGTTAAAGTGTCTCGGCCTAATAAGGGAACTGGGCAGGTGGGGATAACCAAAAAGGAGTGCTTAAAAAGTATTGTCTAAGTTGACATCAGAGTTGGGGCCTTTTAAGATGTTTAGAAGCCTGGCCGTCAATACCCACAACAGTTTTGGAGGCAAGGGAAACAGGCCTTTGAAAAGAAGGTAAAGTAGAGTGGGTAGGCCTCTGTATTGAATAAGAAGCGGATGGACTTACCCTCCACTGTGAGAGGTACCCGAAGCTTGGCGTCCGTGATGGTCTAGGGGGCTTCTGAGGCAATCAGGCAGTGTCAGTCTTCTGCCACTAAGCCGAGAAGATCTGGGAAGGAGTCAGTCAGAGAGCCTTGGGCCAGAGTTTCAGGGGCTCTGGGAGTGGCTGCCAGGTGAGTTGAACAGTCCGATTTTCAGTGGGGTCCCGCACAGATGGGATGTGGCTTAGGAAGAATCCCAGGCTGCGGGCATTTCTTGGACTGGTGTCCAGATTTCTGGCACTTGTAGCAAGCTCCTGGGGGAGATGGGCCTGGAGGAACACCTGGCCACTGCAGTTTAGGCATTTGGAAGTTCTTATGTGCTGGAGATGTGGCTGGGGTTTGTCTCACAGTGGAGGCAAAGAATCTCAACTCAGAAATATGTTGCTACTTGGCTGCCTCTACTCTATTATTGTACACCTTGAAGGTAAGGTTAATTAAGTCCTGTTGTGGGTTTTGAGGGCTGGAATTTAACTTCTAGAGTTTTATTTAATGTCGGGAGCAGATTGGGTAATAAAATATATTGAGACTAAGACGGCCTTTTGACCTTTTAGGGTCTAGGGCTGTAAAGCATCTCAGGGTTGCTGCCAAATGAGCCATGAACTGGGCTGGGTTTTTATATTTGATGAAAAAGAGCCTAAATGGTATCTGATTTGGGATAAAGAAAAAGGAGCATTAACCTTGACTATGCCTTTAGCTCTAGCCACCTTTTTAAGAAGAAATTGCTGGGCAGGTGGGGGAGAGCTAGTCACAGAAGGAAACTGTAAGCCGGACCAAGTGTGAGGAGGGGAGATGATAAAAGGATTATAGGGTGGAGGAACAGAGGCTGAGGAAGAATTGGGACCTAGCTCAGCCTGGAAAGGAGGGGAGAGGTCAGATGGGTCTGTAGAAAAGGAAGATTAGAAGGACTCAGTGACGCTTGGGGTTGGGACTGAGAAGACAGGCGGGAGGGAATGAAGGAAGCTTTGGGACAAGTTGCATTGGGAACAGAGACTAGGGAGGGACTGATTTGTAAAAGAATGCCTGGACATCAGGCACCTCAAACCGTTTGCCCATTTTACAACAAGAATTATTTAGATCTTGTAGGATGGAAAAATTGAAAGTGCCATTTTCTGCTATTTGGAATCACTGTTGAGTTTGTATTGGGGTCAAGTGGCATTGTAGAAGAAAATAAGGCATTTAGGTTTTAGGTCAGGTGTGAGTTGAAGAGGTTTTAGGTTTTTAAGAACACAGGCTAAGGGAGAAGAAGGGGGAATGGAGGGCGGAAGCTTGCCCATAGGGAAGGAGGCAAGCCTAGAGAAAAGAGAGATTAGAGACACGGGGAGAAGGGGTGGGGGGTTCTTGCCCTCCAGAAAAGTCGGAAAGGGGTTGGGGCATGGAAATAAAGGGTTCGGGGCTCAGAGATAAAAGTTCAGGGCATGGAAATATGGGATTGGGGCACAGAGATAAGAGGTTGGGGTGCAGAAATAAGGAGTTGGGGTGCAGAGAGAAGAGGACGGGGCATGGAAATAGGGATCGGGGCTCAGAGATAAGAGGGCGGGGCATGAAAATAAGGGATCAGGGGGTTCTTGCCCCCCAGAAAAGCAGAGAAGGGGTAGATACAGGGAGAGAAGGGGTCAGGTTTCTTGCCCCTCCCCCAGAAAATTGGGACTTGCTCCTAAGGGTGAAGGACCAAGGCAGGCGTCCCTGTGTGGTCAGACACCTCTGAAACATGGGTGAATAATCAGAGAGGTGTCCCTGCAATTATTAAACACCAAGGGAAGGCTGCCTTCCCAAGTCCGTGACCAGCACCAGAGTTTTGGGTCCGTGGATAAAACGTGTCTCCTTTGTCTCTACCAGAAAATGAAAGGAATTGAAATTAAGAGAAGGGAGAGATTGAAGGGTGGTGCCAAAATTGAAAGGAGAAAGTAGTTGAGGGATAGTGAGAGAGGTTGGAGAAGAGAGTAAGAAGAGGCCACTTACCCGATTTAAAATTGGTGAGATGTTCCTTGGGCTGGTGGGTCTGAGGACCCGAGGTCGTAGGTGGATCTTTTCCATGGAGCAAAGAGCAGGAGGACAGGGGATTGATCTCCCAAGAGAGGTTCCCCGATCTGAGTCATGGTACCAAATTTCACTTCTTTTGTGGTGGAATGCCATCAGTTAAGGCAGGAAGCAGCCATCTGGATGTGTACGTGCAAGTCACAGAGGATATGATGGCTTAGCTTGGGTTCAGAGGCCTGATACAAATACTTCATTTTCCTGGCTAATCTTCACTATTTTTCATTCACAAAGGATTTTTGTTTTAGGCTCTAAAGTCAGTTAAGGACAAAAAGGTTTGCAGTAAATGAGGTGTGAAGATACTTGTACCCTCAGAAATAAACCCTAAAGTCTTGTGGATCTAAAAGGCGTAATGGTAAAGTGGTAAATCTGTGTGCCTCACTTGGTATAGTGGTTGGTTCCGTGGTCTGGTCTCAGTGCTGTGTTCTAACATTTTGAGTGAATAGCAGCATAATTGGTGTAAGTGTAAAACTAGGGTAACTATTTCTTAAAAAGAGTTATACTTAAAATGTATCCATGCAGTAAATTTAATGAAGATGTAATGTACTTGCAATACTTCATAGTTAACTTTGTAATGCAGGCATTTCCCTATGAGGTTCTGTTAGCCCCACTTGTAAGTAGTTAATGCTGGTAATGGCATCAATAGTGACTACCGTTAGTGGAGAGTATACTGTGTGCTAGGCTATGTGCAAAGGGCTTCGTAGTTAGCTCACACAAACCTTTCAGCAACCTTTGAAGGTTTTAAAAATATAAGATTAAAAAAAAACAGTGTATAGATAAGAGAAGTGAGCATTTATTATGCAGATCTGAACCAGCCTTAATTCTTAACAAACCAGTACAATATGTAAAATGGGTACAAGACCATAAGTTAAGATAGCACTCGATCCATTTAAACAGGTTTTGGTTAGCTACCCTGAAGACAATTCTTGCAGGAATTGTCAGAAAAAATGGAGATTTCAAGGCCTAAAACTTCACTTCCAGGTAAGAAAACTAGTGACTTTTCAGGGTCTCCTGGAGTTTCAGTCTCCTTTTTGAAAACGTCTACTGTTGAGTATTTTGTGGAGTTCTTCAAAACTGATTTTATTTTTATTCCAATTACATAAAAAAGGAAGGGAAATTTTGCTATTGAAGGAGTTCCTCAGAGTCATAACTTTACTTTGGTAATAAGCAAAAACATAGTATGTATTTATAAAGTACCTATAACGTTTATCTCTCTCAGTGTTTACTAGTGTGCCCACTTGTGTGTGTGTGTGTGTGTGTGTGTATGTATGTATGTGGGTTCTAGATGGAAAAAGATACCTAAATTTTAGTCTTGCTGATATGGTTTAGCTCTGTGTCCCCACCCAAATCTCATCTCAAATTATAATCCCCAGGTGTCAAGGGAGGAACCTGTAATCTCAGGTGCCAAAGGAAGGAGGTGATTGGCTCATGAAAGCAGTTTCCTCCATGCTGTTCTCCTGATAGTGATTGAGTTCTCACAAGATCTGATGGTTTTATAAGTGTTTGACAGTTTCTCCTTCACACGCTCTCTCTCTCCTGCTGCCTTGTGAAGAAGGTGTCTGATTTCCCTTCCCCCATGATTGTATATTTCCTGAGGCCTCCCCAGCCATGAGGAACTGTAAATCAATTAAACCTCCTTTGTTTGTAAATTACCCAGTCTTGGACAGTATCTTTATAGCAGTGTGAAAACCGAGTAATACACTTGCATTTGGCTTTAATTTAGTAGGTATACCTGAACAATCACATTACTTCTATTTCCCCATTTCTCTCAGTTGCAAACTTGAAATTTGAACATGAATGGTCTTGTTTTAAGAATCAAAATGCAAAGTAACAATATTATATGCTTAATCTTGATATTTTTTCCCCACATGGAGTGACAATCATTCACAAACCACTGGAATTTTCTATTGAGAGGATTTCCAAAGTGTTTGTTTTCCTCCACCACCTCCCCCCATCCAACTTGCCACCCTTGCCTCAGACCTTTAGAAAGCATTATTTGATAGGGAAACTGCACTTTCTTTAGAGGGTTAATGGAAACTTTTGTAATATAAACTGTACTAATGTGATTGAAATAAATGGAGCATTTAAATCAATAACAACAAATCATTAGAACAGCTGGTAATTAACCTTTCATCTCTGCAAAGAATTATTTAGACAGCAAGGCAGAGCAGCATCTTGTATACAAGTGTGTGTTAGTAGAAAACCTGCTGGTCCAAACACTGTTTTAATCATGAGTTAGAAATATGAAATGGAGCATAATTTAATTTTGAAACTGATGCTTTTCAGATGCAAAACTTCCAAAGGTGACTGGAGATAACAATGCAGCATCTTCTGTTTACATAGCTATGCTCTTCTCTAGATTACAATGGTTTTTATAAACATAATTTATTTTGCTCTGAATGACTTGGACAAGAATAAATAGCTTTTGAGAAATGTGAAATATGTCTTTTTAAATGTAAAAAGACATAAGTACTCTTCCAAGGAAGGCACAGGGGAAGGAGTTACCACTTTTCTCAGATCAAATAACCACCAAACCATTAGATAGGTCTTGGTGGTTTTCTGTTTTGTTTTTATTTGTTTTGTTTTCAGAGACAGGGTCTCACTCCTTTGCCCATGCTGGAGTGCAGGGGTGCGATCATAGCTCACTGCACCATGTCTGGCTAACTAAACAACAAAAAAATTTGTAGAGATGAGGGTTTCACTACATTGCCCAGGTTGGTCTCAAACTCCTGGGTTTAAGTGAACCTCTTGCCTTTGCATCCTAAAGCACTGGGATTACAGATTTGAGCCACTGTGCCTGGCCAGTTCTTGGTGTTTTCCATTATTTATCTGCCACCTCTAGGGAGATCTCAGCAGAGTTCAAGTTATTTGAAATAAGCTAGACTTTAACAAAGGCAATAGATATTTAGCATAAATCTAATAGCATAGCCTCACCAATATATAAAAACTGGTATAACCCTTCTAAGGGAAATGATAGGACAGATAACATTCTTCGGTCATTTGTTCACTCAATAAAATTGTTGAAGACCTAATATGTGTGTAGCACTTTATAAGATACTAGAAGAACACAATAACAAGTTATCTATTTTCTAAACTCAAAGAACATAAAAGCTAATAAAAGATACAGGCAATTCATAACTGCCATAATAGATAATCACTGTATCAAAGTAGGATCATATAAAAAAGAACACGCCATTCAGTCTTACAACATCAGGAATGGCTATTTGTAAAGAACATCAGTTAAGCCAAGACCTAAGGGGTGACTAGGAGTTGCCAGAGCAAGAAGGAGGCATGACTTTGTGCTTAAAAGAATATAAAATGCAATAAAAGTAAGAGAAAAATGTGGAGCTGCAAGTACTTCCATCTAGCAAGAGCTGAGTTCAATAAAGGGAGAGCACAAAGATAGGGCAGAAGAAATGAGTAGCAGCCATATCATAAAGCACTTCATGTGCCCTGTGAAGATATTTAAGATTAGGCTCACCTACTTTATTCTATACGCTCGAGTCTCTGCCCCTTTGTCCCTTTCTGGGTAATTTTAGCTGTGTCTTTATGTGGCAGATATATTTTACAAAGCCATCCTCATATCTTGCCTACAGCCATGCTATTAAATTCTCCTTGCCACGTGTTTGACTTAGCACCTCTGTATCCTACTGTTGGCACCCAACGGTTTCAAGCATGCCAAAGTGGTTTTATTTCCAGTGTTATCCATTCTTGATCCATTAGGGTAACCAAGTCTTTCTTGGTTGTGTCATAGTCATTTTAGGCTGGTAAAATATCACTAGTTCATGAATGTATCAATGTCACTAAAGATTTTTCCCAAAGGCTGGTGGAAATCATTCATAAAAACAAGCCAAGAATGGGTGCTTTTCTGATATAAGCCAAAACAAAACGTCTCATAAGGAAAATGCAGCAGATTCAGTAACCATCAGGGTACAAAATTCTGCCCTTGTGGAGAAGAACAATTATACCTCTTTATGATTTATAAACCAGTTTCAACTGGTAGCCTTTGAAAACTTTCATTTGCATTAAAAACATGATATTGTAAGATGGTTTTAGACCAATCAAAATTCTTATAAAATTTTGTGTATGAAGATATTACCTGAAGGACTCAATTAATTAGACTAGGTCTAACTATCATTTTAGTTTTCTTGAGATCAGCAATTAGGAGGGTGAATTCTTTATATTTTATCCAAAGGATGGGAAGCAAGTTAAAAGAAAAGAAAGAAGTTCTGATAAAAGCGTTATGATTTTTGCTAAATGGCATCTTCACAATTCCCATTGTAAGTAGGTGATGGAAAATTTCAACAAAATTATTCAAGCCTTCTTCATTCTTACAATTATAGAAAGAGTATACTACTTTAGCCAGTCTTAAAAGTCTTCCCCTCTGCTGCATTTGATTTGAATATGCATAAATTCTGTGTCCTTTGTCACTTTACCATTTTCATGTTTCTTGATTTTCTTGAACACAGCTAGGGTAGGGGTGGAAGAGTCATTTATTGTAACAATACATTTTGAATTGTGCATAAATGTTTAACATTGAATAGCCAAAAATAGGGATTAATAAAGCCTTTATCAACATAGAGGAAATGTTCAGTGAAATGTTATTATTAGTTACAATAGCCATGCTGCTATTTGGAGAACACTGTGATAAACTCCTCACAACAATCCAGTGGGCAGAGGCATTTTAACTCCACTTATGAATGAGGAAATTGTGTCGAGAGATTAAGTATTTCACAGGTCACACAGAATGTCAGAGCTTGGTTACTTCATAACCCAATCTATTCTGTCTTCTTTCTGGAAAAACACTCAGAGGAGATTTCCCAGCTTTCCTTTTCAGTTGATTGTGGCCATGTTACTGAGTTCTAACCTAAAGTACTCTTGAGGATTGAGGAGTCCTACTTCTAGGCTTAACTCATAATAATATTCCAATGGAAAATTCTCTATGCTTCTTCCTCTGTCTACCATAAACTTTGGAAGTTGTATTTGAGAATGGCAAAACCATAAGGCAGACGGAGCCTGAGTTCTTGAAGTACCACTAACCAATCAGAGTACTTATTCAGGTCTTTTCATAAAAGAACCAGAGATACCTATTTTGTGAAACCACTGAGATTTAGGGGTTCATTTATTACAGCAGCTAGGGCCATCCTAACCAATACATAGAGCTAGTAACTACAAGAGACAGAATTTGAATTAAGGTATGCCTTCCCAAAGCATACACTCTTAGCCACTTCTCAGCTATCAGATGATATAATACCTCCAATATGCTGCTTCTGGGGTTGTTATAAATAGACATTATGCTAGAAACTGATTCCTTGAAGCATTTGCAAAATATTTCCCAGGCCTCAGGCTCAGTACAAGTTCCATCCAGAAGGATTTTTTTTTTTTAATTCTCTCTCTCTCTAGGTGCTATGGTTTGAATGTGGTTTGTCCCCAACAAAACTCAGGTTGAAATTTAATTACCAGAGTAATGCTGTTGAGAGGCAGAGCCTTTAAGATGTGATTAGGTTGATTAGATGGATTAATGTCTTGCTTGTGAGACTAGATTAGCTCCTGCTAGACTAGGTTAGTTTTTGTCAGAATGGGTTGTTAGAAACATTGTGCCTTCTCTTTTGTCCCTTTCACATGCCTGCTTCTGCTTCTGCTTCCCTGCCATGTTATGACACAGCATGAGATCCTCACCAGAGGCCACCAGATGCAACTGCCCAATCTTGAACTCCCCAGCCTACAGAACCATGTGCTCAATTAACCTTTCTTCTTTATAAATCATCCAGTCTTCGGTATTCTGTCACATGCTTAATGCATTACAAAATGGGGTAATGATAATTACCTAATGGCTGCTTGCTTGTTTATGAAAATGTGCTTGCTGATTTAGTGATTTCATTGATTAAGATCATTTTTAATAACTGCCACCTAAAAATATAAATTATCTGGGCATCGCTGACTGAACACAACCAATTATTTATCATCTAGCACTATGGAACTTAGGAAATTAAATGTGCATTGGAATTCAACAAAATAAAGGGGAAATAAATTTCTGTCTGTGGATGCATTCATGATTATTGAAGATGATAAAAATTATCAAAATGAAATGATCAACCTCATTTTTTCTAACACAAGACTTTGTGGATATCCATTTTGTAAGTATCACCAAAATGAGTTGTGGTTGGTGGAATTGATGTATTCTAATATCACAGTAAGTCCCTTTCAGCCGCTCAATCCCCCTGAACTCTGAATAAAGAAATTTGCCAAAGGGGTTCAGGAATAAAAGCTGTATTTACAAGGCCATTGAAAAGCCATTTTGTTAGGGTTAAAGCTATGTATTAAATGAGAAGAAAATACCTTGTCACCCTAAGGTAATGTGTTGTTTTAAACAGCAATATGAAAATTCTTTCATTATTTCAACAAAACTAAAACTAGGTAAATAGTCTCTAACTTTTGTTTAAATATAGTGGGAAGTAAAAAGATCCTTCTATCTAAGAAAATCTTCTCCATCTGCTTTTTGGTGCTTGAAGTTGTTCAATAAGCTATAACGTCAAAATCTCAAGACATAAAAATCCCCTTTGGGTGGGAAATACAGGAACTAAAATTTAAACTATTTGAAAATGATCTATATCCTAGATTTTCTCTAGAGCAGATTGTGATCAGCAAAAAGAAAGGTGATAGCTCACTGTCACAAAAAGAGCAAAAGGTTCATAAAGAGGAAGTGGGGAGTTCCCCCAAAATTAATTTTCTCCCACTTCAATCTGCTGTGGGCCAGTTTGGTAATCAAATTTTATCTCCATGAATATATGCATAAAGCAGAAGGAAAATTCAATAGCATCTTTTGGTCATGGCTGTGTTCCACAAACATATTTTCACATCCCTAATATACCTCCTAGAGCCAAAGAACCTAACTATAAAAGCTTTTAAAAAGCTGCAAATTGGTAGGAATAATTCATTTACAAACTTATCTGGTGGTAACTGTCTCCTTTAAATCTCATTTTCATGGTATATGTGTAGGTCTTTTTTCTAATATGCAAAGTACTTTGAATTAAATTTCACTGTGCTTATTAATCACATGGAATATTAGGAATGGAGCCTCAAAATACCAGTGCCTCCCAGAGAGTGGCTTTTTCACAGCTTCCCAGAGTACATTAATTATTAAAATATAGCATGATAAATTACTCCTTCATGCTCACCTATGTAATAGATTTCAAAATTGGTATCTTATTGGCTGACATATTTTGCACTAGCTGTGTTCTTATCAACCTAATTCCTTTTTCACTGGAAAAAGAAGTGACTGAAAACAAGATAATGAAAATAAATTAGGGTGCATTTATCTTAGGTCATGTAAGTGTTTCATATTCCTTATTTGTGAAGGACTACAGTGAAGGCAATAGCAGAGGTGGGGAGAGGGACTGGGAAGAAACTTTTTTTCTCTTCAGGGGAAGTCTTTCTCACACCTGTCCTTTATAAACCAAGAAGAGAAGAGAATTGGTCAGAATCTGGAACATTCGTTGCACATGGTTCCCTAGGACATAGGGTCACTATATCAGAAGAGCAGTAGGCAGATCAGTTACCTTCTTCTCCTTTCCTCTCTCTGATCTCTTCTGTTATGACAATAGGAGGCAGAAAGCTAGAGGACATAGGATCACTATATCAGAAGAGCAGCACATAGAACACTTACATTCCTCTTCTCTTTCTCACACCTATCCTTTATAAACCAAGAAGAGAAGAGAATTTTGTCAGATTCTGGAATATTTGTTACACAGGGTTCCCTAGGACATAGGGTCACTATATCAGAAGAGCAGTACACAGATCAGTTACCTTCTTCTCCTTTCCTCTCTCTGATCTCTTCTGTTATGACAATAGGAGGCAGAAAGCTAGAGGCTGAAGATGAATGTTTGGGATTAGGAAAAAGGAGTGCCTCCTTGTGCCTGTACTGTAAGGCAAGGTTATGGTTAAATGGAAAGTTCCACTTCTAAAGTTTAAGCCCATCTTAAAGGGATACTTGATTTTTTTTTTTTTCCAGCTTGTAGTTTTACTGGAAAACACACAGAGAGGAAGGAAGGCTGTAACTTGGGTCAAGAATATTTTATTCCAGGATCTCTTCACTAAAATACCATCTAATAGCTACCTCTTACCCCACAACAACCCATAGACACATTCAAGTCTTACAGTTTATATAAATAAATGAAAGTAGTACTGGTTACACTGATAAGATTCAAATTTGACAAAGCAACAGATAAAGGAGGTATTATACTTTTAGCAGGTTTGAAAGTTCAACAAATAAATAATAAATTCTGCATATAGATTGTTGCATTGGATTTCTATCAGCTGGATTTCTAGAAAGCAATCATACTCCCAAGTTCATTGTTATCACAGGGAAAATCAGTAGCCTTTGCAGATTTCATTTAGTCCCATTTTTTAACCAAATAATACTCCCAAATCTCTTAGCTATAAGATTGAAGAGAATAAACATGGTTTAGGTAATTAGAAAAAGTTTATTTTTCTCCTTTTCCACTGGACAGGTATGAATTTACCTAGATTTGTCATTATTGCATTAATTTATTTTGGTGTTTGGCAAAGCAGTAAAGAACAAGGTACCAGTATAGCAGGTTACTGATGTCAGTCTTTAAGAATGGGAATTTGAAAATTGTGCCATTTCCTGCCAAATCATTGCCACTTAAAACTAAAGGGACTGAAAAATTTTTAAGATAATACAACTTCCCCTATGTTTATCCTGCATCTCAAACAATAAAATCTATTACATAAAGTATTTAAGTGGTACAGGGAGAAATTAAAGAAATTAAATTAAAGAGCCCTTTTCTTTAATATTCTACGTTGTTTAATGAAGAGCATAGAAAAGGAAATAGCCACAAGAAGAGACATGAGAAAGATACAGATTAATGGAAGTAGAGATTCCAAATAAGATAACCAGGAGAAACATGACTCTCACAAGAAACCACAAAGATAGTGAGGAAGACGCTGAATTTTTCACCATATAATACTTGGGACTCCAGCTATACGTCAAAAGCCAAGGATCAAGATAACTTCAGCAGGCTGAAAGGCCCTGCTCCTCCAGGTGTCTGACACTGGGGTTATAGGTACACAGTGCCAACAACATCCCTTTGAGGTGCTTGGTTAAAGATGCTGCATAATGGAACATTGATTTTCATGTCAAACCTTAAAAGTAGTTGTCAGGAACATCTGGCTACCAAGGACAGGATCTAAAATCCAGCAGGTAACATTGACAAGAAGGTGAAAAAGTAGTCTGAGGCCTGGTTAGAAGCTTGGCTTCCCATCATATAGTTACGTAGCTGCAAGCAGATCATCTACCATCACTGTGCTTCACTTTCCTCTCAAATGGGATAACAGCATTACCTACCAAAGGGTTGTGGTAGAGGCTAAATGAGATAATGCATAAGGAACACTTACGGAGTTACTTACACAGAGTTAGAACTCAATGACCAAGTCCCCACTCTGCCCTGATCACTGTGATATTAAGGACATAGGTTTTCTAATGAAATCACTTCCCCTTGTAAAGATGGAAAAACTGAGATGTAGAAATAATGGAGGCTATTACAAGTAAGGTAGAGATTAAACAAGGCTATCCGTTTGAACCTTACATCACAAAGAAGTCACATGAGCTACGTAGCAGAAATGTGTGTAGTGCCAGTAAGGAATTCAGAAGCCCAGCCTTCGGACCTGTGCCTGAAACGTCCACCATAAGATTTGTGCCTGAAACTACTGACACCTTTTTCTTTTCCCCCCTCATAAAAACCAAAGGGTAGGAGTTTCTGCTGGAGCTAGCAGGCCACGGGGGAAAAGACCTATTTCAAAGGTAAAGCAGAAGGTTACTTCAAGCTGCTTGGTAAATCCCCAGGCTCTTCCCAAAGTGGAGAGCTGAGAAGGCCTCCTATTTGATGCTCCAATTCTTAGGTGAAAGAAAAAAATATCTCCCAGCTTCGTCATTGCTCAAGGTGAGTTGAAATAGGACGACTCACAGGCAGCTGTATTTACTCTCCTGTGCTGTTCCCAGCTGCACGGGGTCATGTGGTACAGTCTTACTGCCAGCAGCCCAGAGAAGGCTCAATGAAGTTCCTACTGATTGTTAAAGCTTTTTTAGTGTGGCAGGCAGTAATTACCATTGTGAGGCATAAGGCTATCTCTCTCTTTTTCTTAATACAAGGGAAATGAATAGTGTCTTTTTCATCCTGATCATCTTCTGGCTTTGACACTGAGAATGGAGGCTCTAGGGACAATGAAACATGTCTTTGTACTCTCAGTCTGTGTCTTTAAGAAAGAAAAATGATAATAGAAACATACTAGGTTGGTGCAAAAGTTATTGTGGTTTTTGCCATTAAAAGTAACCATCAAAAACTGCAATTACTTTTGCACCAACTGAATAATTCAATGTGTCTGAATCTATTAGGCTATGTCCTGGCATCAGAACAGGTTTCAGAACTTGTAACTCTCAAACTCACACCTGAAATTCACTATATTTAGGGCTTTGGGGAGCTGTCCCTGAGTCTCCTGAAATTGATATAAAATTATGTTTTATCTACATGTTGTAAGAGAAAGACTTCAACATTTTTTCATATTTTAATAAGGTTCCCTGTCATGAAAATGTTAAAAACTGATAATCTTAGGTTGCCTCACAGAATACTGAATCTGAGATCCCACTCCAGACCTGCAGCTGCAATTCCTACTGACTTAGGAATTAAATGGGATGTGTTATTTCTTGTTATTAAAAAACAGTCCAGGAATATCTTGTTTCAGAAATGGCTACGCACAAGCTTTTAAACAAGGTCACCAAAACTACGTTTTTTTCCTCTTTCTCCATCTCTGGACTATACTCTTTTAGTTTTAGGAAAGGCCTTGCCACATAGTGAAAAGAAATCCATTGTAGTTCCAATGTTATGATCCCTTGGCTGAGCAAACCCAGCAGAAACAGTGCATCTCCTATACAGTAATTGTAATGATTGACTCTAGTTGGATGGACTTGAGTTACATCCTGCATCCCAGAGTCAAGCACTGTTGTCCAGGGATCTCAACTGGGAGCAATTTCACACATGTGGCAATGCCTGGAGACAGTTTTGGTTTTCACAACTTGGGTGTGTTACCAATATCTAGTAGGTTAGAGGATAGGGTTTCTGCTCAACATTCTACAGTGCACAGGTTAGCCCCTCACAACAAAGAATTACTCAGCTCCAAATTCAATAGTGCCGAAGTTGGGAAAACTTGCTATAGCCAATGTACAGGAAGGATGTGTTTGGTCATACCTGGAACTAATGCCTATACCTGGAATGAGAGAATAGTGACCAAGGATGAGAAGTACAGAAGAAATGTTTCCAAAGGAAAATAAAAATGTCGCAGCCTGAGGAAGGAAAAATTCATTCCAGGCAAGCAAAATCAAAAGAGATGTCTGCTACAGACATCATAAACAGATATCCCTGTTTAAGCACTCCCTGTCAGTGAAGACTTCCAATGTGTCAGGTACTGCACTTAATTTATTCTGTACTTATTATTTAATCCTCACAAATGAATGAAGCAATTGTCATTATACTCATCGTACGGATTTAGCATGCAAGGCTCACCCAGCAAATAAGAGGCAAAAAGGCCTATCAAACTCATGATTTCTTATTCTTTGTCTCATAAGATTCGGTTTGGATCATAGAAAAATAAAACCTTTGACTACTCAAAAAAATAAGAAGAAATAAAAAGATCTTCTCAAGTGATTACTCAGATTTCTCATGACTTCAATGAAAAGTAGTGTTTGTCTTGCAAAGGCATTGCATAGGTTTTACATATTCTGTATATACATGCATGTGTTGCCTTTCTCTTGTATATTTTAGGTCATTGAACAGTTCCTTTTGCATTTTGCTTGCATGATTCAGGTTTGTTTTGGAAAACATGAAAGTCTTTGAGGGCATATATGTTCTGACTTTTTGCCTATTCTTTATCACCAAATGTCAGACTTCAAACTGATTGTCAAAGGCAGTTGTGATTTAGTCTCCTCCTCAACTTCTGTGAATTGATAAAATTATAAGGCAAAATCTCCAAAAAGGAACATATAACTCTGGATTTGCAAATGTGTGTATGTGTATATATGTTTCAAGGGTTGGACATAAGGATTAATGGCTTCATTAGCAAAGTGTTAAAGGCTGATTTAACATCTGTCTCAGCCATCATGATTTGTTTGTAAATCTTATATTTTTTAACTTTGACCATTTAACACATGTTTATTTTAGAAGTTTCTAAATATATCCCAAATAGAACATAAATATCACCCCCATCTCCTAATTACCCAACTTCAATAGCCATCAATATTTTTGCTTTATTATCTCGACTAATTCTCTGAGGTTTTTTTCTGGAATATTTTATAGCAAATTTCAGGTGTAGCATCATTTAACTTCAAGGTATTTTAATGTGCATCTCAAAAATGACATTTTCTTATACAATCTTAATGCCTTATCACACAAAACAAAATCAACATAAATTTGTTAATGCCATCTAATACCAAATCTAAACTCAAATATCCTTAATTGTCTAAAAAATGTCTTTTTATATTCAGTCTGTTCAAATTAGCATTTAAGCAGGGCTCACTAAACTGTATTGAGTGGTTAGGACTCGTAAGTTTCTTTTAAGATAGAACAATTCTTCCTCTTCTACTTTTGATGCTACTGATGTGTTGAAGCATTCAAATATGAAGTGCTACTCCACATTCTGGATGTTTCAGATTGTGTCCTTATTGTATACTTGAACTTATTTATTATAACTGTATTTTCTGTACAATGAAATGCAGAATTTGAATTTTTCAAAATTCATTGTGGTATCATATCTTTTCTATTGCATCATATGACAAGATACATGTCTCACTTTTAGTGGTACTAAGATTGATCAATAATTATGGATGGAGACAACCTGATTCTTTCATTATAAAGTGCCTTATTAATCTTTCACTTAATGGCTCACCATTATTTGATGACCATTTACTTGAATCATCTATGTTATCATGGATTGTAAAGCGATGTATTTTTTCTAATTCTATCATTGCTTTTGCATTTATTACCTGGATTTTCATTTCTTTTCTTTTCTTTCTTCCTTTTTTTTTTTATTAGCCAGGCACCATGGCTCATGCCTGTAATCCCAGCACTTTGAGAGGCCAAGGCAGGAGGATTGCTAGAACCCAGAAGTTTGAGACTGGAATTCTTTATAAAAAGAAATGTCCCTCATTCACTTCGGCTATTTAATCCCCTGGGGGTCAAGGTCAAAGGCAAAAGCATGATAAATACTTATTTATTTCCCTTTAATTACCAGTGTTATACCGAATGGTTGAAATCCTAGCAATCTTCTGTGGTTCTCAGTGACATATATTTTGTTCCTGTATCTCCTTATTTTGGTGAGTAGGAGATATGTCTTATGAATTTGTAGCTTTTAAAGCATAACTAATGCCTTCTACTGAATTGCAGTAATTATTCTTTTTTTCTTTTTTGAAAACTGCAAATGTATATAATTATTGAGAGAATAATAAATCATAAATCCATGTGTTTATCTCCCAGCTTAAGCAATTTATAATTTATAGCAATTATATTTTTCCTATAGGTCCACATTCTACATCCCCCAAACCACATGATTTACAAGCAAATTCATGTTTTATATCTTTCTGTAGTATTTGTATGTATAGCTTATAAAAAAGACACCCATTTAAAAATAAAATCACGTCTACACTACCATTATGGCAACTAATCAAAGTTAAAAATAATTTTTCAAAATCATCAGATAAAGTCAGTTTTCTATTTCACTAATTCTCTTATAAATGTAGGTATGCATGTTTACATTTTGTTTGAATTGGGATCCAAATAAGGCCAATGCACTTTAAATGGTTATGTCTCCTAATTATCTTTTAATTTTTAGGTAACTCCATCTTTTTTCTTTTTTCACTATTTTCTATTGCATAAACTAACTTTTAAGTCTTGTATATTTTTCCATAGCATGGGGCCTGCTGACACGATAACTGTTATATAGTTACAAAAAAGAATTTCCACCCTCATTCTTTTTAATGCTCAAGTTATCCCACTTTTAGCCAGGAGACGAAAGAAGTAGTTATTAATTCATTATGACTTGTAGTAGAAAACTATAGAAAGTATTAAAATTAAAGAGAAACCAAAGGAATGAAGACAATAAAAATTCAAATTATCCTATTAAAATTGTTTTTTCAAAAGGAAAATAGACCTCAGTAAAAGACTTTAAGTAAATCATAAAAAAAAAATCAGAAACAAGAACAGACGTTATGTCATGCCAATACACTTAATGGAGTCCCTTATCTGAATAAAAATATTTTCAAATTTACTAACAAAGCAAAATACAATTTGATGTTGGGTATAAGATGCATAACTTTAACAAAGGGAATCTCAAGACGTATAAGTAAAAAGACAGCAAAGATATACTAGAGAAATTCATATGCAAAGAAATCAAGTGTCATTGTCTTGCTATCAAACAAGAAAAACATCAGGCCAAAAATAAAATCAAGCAGAAAAGAATATTTTATAGAAATGAAAACCACAGTCCACAAATAACATCTAACGATTATTAGTATCTATGTACCAAAATACTACAGCTGCAAGTTTCAGGGAGAAGAAACCACAGGTATTGCCAATAGAAATAGGAAAAACATGGACACAGGAAGTGGAAAAACACACACTGGGGCCTGTCGGGGAAGCGTGGGGATCTGGGGAGAGCATTAGAGAAAAGAGCTAATGCATGCTGGGCTTAATACCTAGGTGATGGGTTGACAGGTGAAACAAACCACCATGGCACACATTTACCTATGTAACGAATCTGCACACCATGCAGATGTACCCCAGAACTTAAAACAAATTTAAAAAAAGAAATAGGAAAAACAGACTAATAATAGTTTACTTGAACATACCCATCAATGCAAGACAGTTCAAGTGATGAAACCATCATTAAAAATATAGAGGACCTTGTCTTAGTCACCCCAGGTTACCAACCAAAAAAAGCCCATAATAAATGGATTCACACCCAATTGTAGCATACTGAATGGCTAAAACTGGAAGCATTCCCCTTGAGAAATGGAATAAGACAAGGATTCTGAAGCCCATCACTCCTGTTCCTTTTTATGGCTGTGTAGTATTTCATGGTGTATATGTATCACATAAAAAAAAAAATCCACAAGGCGGGCAGATTACCAGAGGTTAGGAGTTCGTGACCAGCCTGGCCAACAAGGCAAAACCCCATCTCTACTAAAAATACAAAAATTAGCTGGCTGTGGTAGCACACACCTATAATCCCAGCTGCTCAAGAGGCTGAGGCAGGGGAATCACTTGAACCTGGGAGGAGGAGGTTGCAGTGAGCCAAGATCGCCCCACTTCACTCCTCCAGTCTGGGAGACAGAGACAGATTCCATCAAAAAAAAAAAAAAAAATCCAGTCCGCTGTTGATGGGCACCTAGGTTGATTCCATGTCTTTGCTGTTGTGAATAGCATGTGTCTTTCTGGTACAACTATTTATAGGAAAATAAATATTATATATATATGCATTATATATATAAAATTATTATATATATACATTACTATATATATAGTAATGGGATTGCTGGATCAAATGGTAGTTCTATTTTTAGTTCTTCAGAAATCTCCTATCTGCTTTCCATAGGGGCTAAATTAATTTGCATTTCCACCAATATTGTATGTGTTCCCCTTTCTTCCGCAACCCCGCCCAAATCAGTTATTTTTTGACTTTTTAGTAATAGCCATTCTGACTGCTGTGAGATAGTATCTCAGTGTGGTATTGATTAGCATTTCTCTGATGGTTAGTGAGGTTAAATATTTTTTCATGTTTGTTGGTTGCTTGTATGTCTTCTTTTGAGAAGTGTCTGTTCAAGTCCTGTGCCCACTTTTTAATGAGGTTGTTTGATTTTTTTAATAATTTGTTTAAGTTCCTTATAGATTCTGTATATTAATCTTTTGTCGGATGCATAGTTTGAGAACATTTTCTCTCATTCTGCAGATTGTTTACTCTGTTGAGAGTTTCTTTTGCTATGCAGACACTCTTTAGTTTAATTAAGTCCCATTTGTCTATTTTTTATTTTGTTGCATTTGCTTTTCAGGTCTTCATTATAAATTATTTGCGTAGGCCAGTGTCTAGAAGAGTATTTCCTAGATTTTTTTTCTAGAAATTTTATAGTTTGAGGCATTACATTAAAGTGTTTAAGTCATCTTGAGGTAATTTTTGTATATAATGAGAGGTAGGAGTCCAGGTTCATTCTTCTGCATACGGTTAGTCAATTTTTCTGGCACCATTTATTGAATAGGATATCTTTCCCCCATTGTTTATTTTTGTCAATTGTTGAAGATGAATTGGTTGTAGGTTTGTGGCTCTATTTCTGTGTTCTCCTTTCTGTTCCATTAGTCTACGTGTCTATTTCTTCACTAGTACCATGCTGTTTTGTTTCCTGTATCCCTGTATCATAGTTTGAATTCAGGTAATGGGATGTTTTCAGTTTTTTTTTTTCCTTAGGATTTTCTCTGCTATTTGGGCTTCTTTTTTTTGTTGTTCAATGTGAGCTTTACAATAGTTTTTTTCTAATACTGTGAAAAATGATATCCTTAGTTTGATAGGAATAACGCTGAATCTGTAGATTGCTTTGGGCAGTATGAACATCAATTCTTCCAACACATGAGCATGGAATGCTTTTCCATTTGTTTGTGTCATCTGTGATTTCTTTCAGCAGTGTTTTGTAGCTCTCCTTGTAGAGATCTTTCACCTTCTTGTGTAGGTGTATTTCTAGGTATTTTTTTGTGTGGCTATTGTAAATGGGATTGTGTTGTTGATTTGGCTCTTAGCTTTAGCATTATTGATTTATAGAGATGTTACTGATTTTCATACATTGGTTTTGTATGCTGAGACTTTGCTAAAGTCATTTATCAGTTAGAGAAGTCTTTTGGCAAAATCTTTAGAGATTTCTAGTTATAGAATCATCTCCTAAGTGAAGATAAGTAATTTGATTTTCTCTTTTTCTGTTTGGATGCTTATTTCTTTCTCTTGCCTGATTGCTCTGCCTAGGACTTCCAGTACTATATTGAATAGCAATGGTGAGAGTGGACATCATAGATGACTCTTGTTATTTTGAGGTATGTTCCTTTTATGCCTATTTCATTGAGGATTTTTATCATAAAGGATTTTGGATATATTGAATGCTTTTTCTGCATCTATTGAGATGATTCTATGGTTTTGTTTTTAATTCTGTTCATGTGGTGAATCACATTTATTGATTTGCGTGTGTTGAACTATCCTTCCATCCCAAGAGTAAAGCCCACTTGATTGTGGTGAAGTAACTTTTTGATGAGCTGCTGGATTTGGTTTACTGGTATTTTGTTGAAGACTTTTGTTTTTATGTTCATCAGGGATATTGGCCTGTAGTTTTCTTTTTTTGTTGTGTTTTTGCAAGACTTTGGTATCAGAATGAAACTGGTTTAATAGAATGAGTTAGAAAGAGGTAACTCCTTATTTTTTGGAAGAGTTTCAGTATGATTGGTACCAGCTCTTCATTATATGTCTGATAGAATTCAGCTGTAAATTCATCTGGTCTAGGACTTTTTATTTGATTGGTAGGTTTTTAAAATTATAGATTCAATTTTGTTATTCATTATTGATCTGTTTGGGATTTTACTTCCTCTCCTATCTTGAAGGATATGTAGTCTTTCACTGTAGATAGATAGATAGATAGATAGATAGATAGATAGATAGATAGTATTGTCTCTAAAGATTTGCATGTATTTTTAACTTATTAAACTCTAACATTAATAATTATTTATCATCTTAAAGACCTCAGAATGTTTTTATTTGGTGTACCTTGTTCTTAATTTATATAATTTTAACATATTTCAATTCTACGTGTATTTTAAACTCAACAAAATATTATTAACATTATGTTGCACTATCAATGTTTATTTATAATTGCCCACATTTTTTACCTTTTCACTGCTCTTTATTTTTTTTCGTCTTTGACCATTCTTATGAGATCCTTTTCCTTCTGCACAAAGAACATCTTTTTGTATTTATGTTAGTACAGACCTGATAGTGACTAATTCCTTTGACGTTTTTATGTCTGACAGTGTCTTAATTCTGCTTTTATTCTTGAATAATACTTTTTGCTGATTATAGAATTGAGGGTCCACAATTTTAAAAGGTCATTTGCTTCTATTGACTTTGATCTTACAGTATATTTGTTGAAATGTCAGCTGTCAGTTCTTTTGTTGCTGCTTTAAAGGTTTTTTTCTGGCTACATTTATATTTTTTCTTGGTTGGGAACATTTTTACTATAATGTGTGTAGAGATAGGTTTCTTACTGTTTATCTTGCTCGAAGTGTGTAAAACTGTATAACCTGCCCTGTGACCGAATGTCTATACTTTTTGAACATTTTCAGCCAGTATCTTTGCAAATATTGTTCTTATCTTTCTCCTCTCCTGGAATATTTATTACACATGTACATGACAATTGACCACCTCTTATTCTTTTAAATTTTACCAATTTTTGTCTTTCTGTGTTTTATTCTGGCTATTTTATTTATTTATTTTTACCTACCTTCTGGTATATCAATTTTTTTTCTGGTTTTTTTACTTATGCTTTTATCCTTTCAGTCTTTTATTTCACATTATTTATTCTCTGTTTTTGAAATTTTTTTTAGTTTCCAGTTCTCAGTCAAAACTGTCCATTTTTAATCTTTTTTGCATCAATTTCTTTAAATGTAAATGTTATTTAAATGTCTGTACTTCAAGACACTCATGACTGAAGACTCTGTGTCTGTTTATATTGTCCAATGTCATCAATGTTGCATAGTCTGCTATGTACCTTGTTATTTTATAATGTGTGCTAGGCATTTTGTCTGAAAAAATATTTTATAAATGATTTGAACTCCAGGAAGATGTTATCTTTCTTTAGGAAAGACTTACATTTGGCCTATGAGGACTAATACTATAGAATGCCTTGAAGCATTGGCACTCTGTGATCACCTCAATCTAATTTCAGGGATTGGGAGTATTCTATTCTGAGCTGAAATATCTATAAAGGCTGTACAATTCTGCATTCATCTGGCAACACTACCCAAAGAGAGAGGTTACACCAGACTTATCCACAACTGGGAGTCTTTGGACTCCAAATCATTTTCTCCTCGCCCATTAGACTGTCAAAAGGCATTTCGCAGCCTCTCAGTGGCACCTCTGGAATCAGGAAAGCAAACAAAACAAAACAACATAACACAAACAAGAAAATCCAGAAAATAATGACCCCAAACACCAGACTGATTAACAAGGGGAACATGGAAGCAGCAAAGAGTGCAACCTGATTGAAATAACTTTACCATTTTAAAATCACTTAAACCATAGACACGTGGGACTTGCAGGGTATTTTTTTACAGGATATATTTTTAGGAAAAGTATTTTTCTTTTCAGACAAATAAGATATTGTAGAATATCACATTTTTTAAACTGAGTGATGTACTACAGTGGATGCCACTCACTCAGAAACTAGGAGGTCTCCAGAGTCACTCCTGAATGGTAATGATGAGTAACACAGTGCATATTGCTCTCGTGGAAGTTGAAAACTGAAGGCCTGGCAACCAAAAAGGAGTGCTTACATGTTGGGATCCAGAGAAGAATTCTGTAGAATTTACCCAAAACTTTAAATTATTATTCTAGGTTATACTACAGCAGTATCAGGTATATATTGATCATTTCACTTTTTAAATAATGGATTTAAAATGATTTATTATGAATATTAGCTATAAAACAAAGGTGTGCTACTTGGTCTATTGTTCCTGCATCCTGTCAAAGGATAATGCTCTTATAAAAGTGATGATTTATACGAAGAAGGCCTGTCTATGCCATCTTCTACCACGAGGAAATAGTAGGGTTCACAGGGCATCCAAAAGGCTCTCTGCTAATATTTACAACATGGTCCCGAGAAAAGCAGAGAGCAAAAAGCATCAGCTATGTGGTGACAAAAGCAAGAGCAAGCAAAGTTCAGACAAGTGGCTCATTTCTGCTGCCATTCAGGGCAATCTCTAATTATCATGAAGGTATGTCATCTTCACTATTTATAATCCTCAAAATTTTAGTGGATTTTTTTTTCTGGCTTCCCAGAATTAGAAGTTTTTTCCTGTGTTGAACAACACTTATCTTATGAACTCCTAAGGGAGAAACAAGATCTAAATGAGGATTTTCTTTATGCCTCTAAGAGGTTAGACACAAACATATGACCTAGGTTTTGCTTATCAAAAGCAATAACCCGGAACTTTCAGATGGAAACTAGTGACTCAGAGAAAGAGGGACAAGCGAGGAGTAGCAAACAGATTTCCAGTGGTATTGATGGCAAAATTGGTACTATCTCTGCTTTGTTCCTTTAGTGGCTGCAGCACAAAGCATGACGTCACATGTTCATTGCTGTACTCACCACCTGGTTCTGTAGTGACTTTGCCTGTGATGTGGGTAACTTAGGTCCTAGTTGTTCTTGCCTGTTTTCAGGACCCGATTTTCTAGTCTTTCACCCTGTGCTTTGTGAGCTGCCAACATCACTTCTATTTCTCTCACCTTAAATCAGCCAGAAGTGTTTTCTTTTGATTACAGTTATGGCTCATGAGTAGTATAATCATCATTATAATTATCATCTTCATCACCCTTAATAGCTAAAATTTACTGAATATTTAAGGTGTGCTAGACACTCTGTTAAATACTTCATGGACATTCAAAAATGTCTTTAGCAAAAAAATGGTCTCTCCGCAATTCTGACAAGTAGTTGTCATAATTATCCTTATTTTACTTTAGAAAAACTGAGGCTTGAAAAATTAAGGAATTTGACCAAAGTTAATCCCAGCACAAAAGCTAGGATTTAAACCCAAGTACATTTAATCCCCACATTGAACTGTTTCCCTCATTAGCAGAATCATTGATGTTATTATTGAACTTCCTTTAACAAACTATTATTTCTAATCATCTTATCTTAGGTTATCCTATTAGTATAATAATATTTCATCAGCCTTCTTTTGCAAATTAGAAAACAGAAAATAACTACATTGCTCAAGGTTGAAGCCAGTAGATATTAAAGACTGAGGTTAAACCCCAATATGTTGACTCTAAGTATGATTAGAATTTCATTACACTAGCAAAATTCTAAAATAATTGTACTCCAATTTCAAGTACAGAGACTACTTCAATAACATGTCAATGCATGACATTGAAAAATCAAAGCCTACGTTGTGTTTCAGTTAAGTTTGTATTCCTCCCAAATCTCCAGTTTTAATAGGTTTTTATTAAATATTTGGTGGGGTGATAAATGGAATCGTGTGATATATCTCTTAACCTTAAAGATAGCATACTGTTGATAATTGTAGTTTTCTCCCATTTTCAACATGGGAAAGTCTGACTTCTCTGAAAATCACCCCATTCATTTTGTCCTCATTGAAAAGTAATACGTGAGGCTAAAATGCAAACCCTTCCAAAAGAAAAAAATGGGATATTAAATTGTGAATAGGAAAAAATATATCTACAGGGTTACATTCATGGCAGCACCATTTTATACTAGTGCAAAAATGCAAATAACTTAAAATTTCTACATGAACCAGAATAATCTCACTTCAAATCACTTTATTTATTATCATTATGCATTTTCTATTATTTATTAAATATATCACCTTATTTAAATATTATTTGATAGTCTTGCATTCAAATCCTTGTAGTAGTAACAAGCTCAGATCCCTGGAGTCAGCTTGACTCCTCTCCCTGGTGCCTCTCCTACTTTGGTTCCTGTAACTTTCCACCTAGTTTGCCCCATTTCAGCCACACTGGCTTTCTCAATGTTCCTTGAATATGTCGAGCAGGCTTCTGCCGCAGGGCCTTTGCACTTTCTCTCTCCTCTGCCTTCAATAATATTCCCCCTGATATTCATGTAGTTGGTTCCCTCACCTCACTGATGCCTTTATGCAAATATCATAGCTGTAGTGGGTATATCATTGATTCCGTATAAATTAGCATTATTCCACCCTCATTCAGTTCTCCTCATCACCATGATTTATGCTTCTTCATTGCCCTTATAATTGACCTAGTATGTGTATATGTGTGTGTGTGTTTATGTATGTATATGTGTGTGTGTATATATAAATATATATATATATATATTTAAGTGTTTAATTATTGTTTGATCCTCTCACTTAAAATGCTAAAAATACAAGCTTCAAAAACATGCCCTGTTCTGATTTGGTCATTACTTATTTTCCAATGATTAAATAAGTGCTGAACACATAGTTATTGGTCAGTAAACATGTATCGAGTAAAATAAGTTAGTTTGGGCTCATGTAAGCCCATTGCTGAACACCTAGCTGAGTTGTTCATTCTTGTCTTTTTGAGAAATCACCCTCTTTTCTGTGAATAGAAGGGTTCAGCCCTATTGGTCATTTTTAGTCTTTTTACTTTTCCATACTGGGCACTCATTCTATTCCTTATCATGTTGTGTTTGAATTCAGTTATTCTTTCTTGTGCTCTTTGACATTGTGCTGGGATTTTGGCCTTCCCCATATATCACTTTGAATTTTAGCAAATACAATGCCTTATATTTTAAAAATTGCTTTTAAGAACCATATTTAGACCTAAGTAGATAGAGTTCTCTTTAAAAAAAAAGAAAAAAAATACCCTTGGGTCATTCAGCCTAGCAGAAAGAGAAAAACAGTTATACCTGTTAACTTGTTTTCATTCTTGTACTAGCAAGAAAGAATGAGAGTAAGATTGGTGTCCCTTCCAACTTTCTTCCCTAGAGATGATTTTCTGGGGGGCCCTATTGAAGAACTGAAAAAGTCTGAAAGCTGAACCAGAAGTGATGCAAAATTAGCCTTGAATAAGTCTTATACTTAAGCCCACCTATTATTGAAAATATGAAACTTAAAGCAAAATATTAAAATACAAATTAATTTCAAAATTTCAAATTAATTGTATTCAGTTCCTTAGTCTAAAACCAACATAAAACCATAATTACATATTAATGAGGTGAATGGATTTTAAACTACAACAAAGAATATTATATTTACAAGCAGATAAACCTATTTGAGATGAAGCCATCTTATACAGGTTGGGTGACCTTAGGCAAGATTCCTGGCCTTTCTGAACCTCTCAGTTCTCATAAACTTTGAATTACAAGAGAGAAACACGAAATTGCTGCTGAAGAAAGAGGTTATGTCATTTATTGCCACATGATACATAATATATGGTCCAAAGCATCTTCTCAGTCATTTGACTTTTGTGTTTATGAATCTTCTACCTCAGGAACAGAGGGCTTATGTAGCACCATTTATTTTTCAGCTTGTCCCACAAATAGGCCCATTATAAATTGCCTTTGTGACATAAACATCAATTATCTTCAGTCTTTTAAAAGCACTCTCTGGCTTGGTGTGCTGGCTCACGCCTGTAATTCCAGCATTTTGGGAGGCCAAGGCAGGCAGATCGCTTGACACTAGGCATTCAAGATCAGCCTAGGCAACATGGTGAAACCCTGTCTCTACAAAAAATAGAAAAATTAGCTGGGCATGGTGATGCAGACTTTTAGTTCCATTTTCTTGGGAGGCTGAGGTGGGAGAATTGCTTGAGTTCAGGAGGTGGAGGTTGCAGTGAGCCTAGATAGTATGACTTTCAGCCTGAGCAACAGCGTGAGACTCTGTCTCAAAAAAAAAAGCACTCGCCCGGTGGATTAAAAATATAAAAAGAATCTCATGCCTTCTTTATAATATTTAGTTTAGGTTTTTGTTTCTTTGTTTTCAATGTCTGTAGAATCTGTAGTGAGGACCCTCTTTTCATTGTGTGTGTGTGTGTGTGTGTGTGTGTGTGTGTGTGTGTGTATGTGAGAATGGGTCTCACCTAAAGGCTTACCAACTTCATAGTCTTTGCAAGGAAACAACTTTTGACTTTGTTGATTCTTCTGTTGCATGGTATGTTTTCCATTTAATTTCTTCTCATATCTTTAGACTGTTCTTCTTTTTTTTTTTTTTTTTTTTTTTTGAGACGGAGTCTCGCTCTGTCGCCCAGGCTGGAGTGCAGTGGCGGGATCTCGGCTCACTGCAAGCTCCGCCTCCCGGGTTCACGCCATTCTCCTGCCTCAGCCTCCCAAGTAGCTGGGACTACAGGCGCCCGCCACTACGCCCGGCTAATTTTTTTGTATTTTTAGTAGAGACGGGGTTTCACCGTTTTAGCCGGGATGGTCTCGATCTCCTGACCTCGTGATCCGCCCGCCTCGGCCTCCCAAAGTGCTGGGATTACAGGCGTGAGCCACCGCGCCCGGCCCAGACTGTTCTTCTTACCATGTTCTTTAGGCTTAATTTGGTGTTATTTTTCTAAATTCCTAAAATGAATACTTAGCTTATCAATTATAATCCTTTCTTCTTTTGCTCTATAGGAACTTAAAACTTCAAATTTCCTTTTAAGGATAGCGTTAGCTGTATTCCGTATCCCACATGTTTTGCCATGTAGTATATCAAATAAATATATATAATTTGATATAGTATATATAAACATGAATATGAGGATATATGAATG